>NC_000005.10:176212660-176363106 GCF_000001405.40 Homo sapiens
ATGATTATAAAAGTAATGATGATGATTAGAGCACACAAGAGCCTTTTAAGACAGATGCTATGTTTTGAAAACCTCCTGCTGGATGGGAAAGTACAAATGAGAACCTTTCCTTGGTTGGCACAATTCCTTCCCTTCCTGGGCATCACCTTACTAACTAGAACCAAAGAGCCATATTTGCAATGCTAATACCCAGCCCTGGGGAGAGCCCACAGTTGCCCATCTGCCTTACTTACCTCAGGAACACAATTGCTAACTTCCCAAACAAAAAGCTGCTCAAGTGTCAGCCACAGCTACCAGTGACCAAAACACAGGAGCTCCCAGAAAAGAAAAGCAACAACCACAGGCTGGTATCAACTTAGATGGGGGACAGTAAGGACTCAGGTCCTAAGAGGGGGGCAGGGGGAACTGGCTGCAGAATAGAACACTAAGGAAATCTGTCAGAAAATAGTCAGGAACAAGGTAGGAAAAGTGTCCAGCCCTCATCTTCCCCCAGAGAAACAGATCTTGTCAAAAGAAGGTACATTCTATAAATTTACAGTGCCAGGCAGAGTCCCCCAATCCTCAGAGAGCTGGAGTAGGGATCTGGAACAAGATCTAAGAACCCCCAGGTACCAGGGGACCCAGATCCTAGGACTGCTGAAGTACAGAAGAGGGCCAGAGTGGTTGCTGCCCAATGACAACCACTGACTCCTCCAGCATCTCAGGCTATCCCCCGTAAGAAGCATCCCAGACTGTGCATTTCCAACCCTGCTGAAAAGCAGGACAAGGAGAAAGGGCTGACTCTGCCTCAGCTGCAGATGAGGCTGTGCAGTCTGCAGACAATTGTGGGTTCATTACTGACAGTAGAAATGGCACTGGAAATTGTCGGGATCAGAGCAAAGGGGCTTCTGAGTGAACTAGGAACACCAGCACTGACAGCAAAACCACCCAGCTAAATAAACAGTAGGATATACGTAATTCCAGCAAGGTCACAAAACATAAGATCAATACACAAAAATCGATTATTTTTCTATATACCAGCAATGAACAATTCAAAAATGAAATTTAAAAAATAATTCCATTCATAATAGTATCAATACAATAAAATGCTTAGGGATAAATTTTACAAAAAATGCACTTCTTTGATACAATAAAACTTTTATACACTAAAACTGGTGCTGAGAGAAATTAAAGAAGATTTAAATAAATGAGGGGACATCCATATTTACAGATTGGAAAACTCAATCTTGTTAAGATGACAATTCTCCCCAAATTGATCTATAGCTTCAATGCAATCCTTTCAAAATCCCACCTGCCTTTTTCACAGGAATTAACAAGCTGATCCTAAAATTGATATGAAAATACAAATAACCTAGAATAGCCAAAACAATTTTGAAAAAGAACAAAGTTGGAGGACTTACAGTTCCTAATTTCAAAACATATTATAAATCTACAAAAATAAGGACAGGCTGGGCACGATGGCTCATGCTTATAGTATCAGCTACTTGGGAGGTTAAGGTGGGAGGATCACTTGAGCCCAGGACTTCAAGGCTGTAGTGAGCTATGATCACACCACGGTACTCCAGCCTAGGCAACAGAGCAAGACTGTCTAGAAAAAGAAAAAAAAAAATCAGGAGAGTGTACTGGCATAGGGATTGACATATAGATCAATTAAACAGAATTGAGAGCTCAAAAATAAACTCAACATTTATGGCCAACTGATTTTCAACAAAGCTGCCAGAAAAATTCAAACTGGAAAGAATATTATTTTCAACAAACGGTGTGGGACAATATTCACATGCAAAAAGATAAATTTAGGTACTTCACACTAGTCATTAAAAACAGCTCAAAAACTGAGATGTGAGGAGCACCTCTGCCCGGCCGCCCCATCTGGGAAATGAGGAGCGTCTCTGCCCAGCCGCCCCATCTGGGAAGTGAGGAGCGCCTCTGCCCGGCCACCCATCTGGGAAGTGAGGAGCGCCTCTGCCCGGCCGCCACCCCGTCTGGGAAGTGGGGAGTGCCTCTGCCCGGCCACCCCGTCTGGGAAGTGAGGAGCGCCTCTGCCCGGCCGCCCTGTCTGGGAAGTGAGGAGCGCCTCTGCCCAGCCGCCACCCCATCTGGGAAGTGAGGAGCGCCCCTGCCTGGCCACCCCGTCTGGGAAGTGAGGAGTGCCTCTGCCCGGCCGCCCCATCTGGGAGGTGTACCCAACAGCCCTGAAGAGACAGCGACCATCGAGAACAGGCCATGATGATGATGGTGGTTTTGTCTAAAAGAAAGGGGGAAATGTGGGGAAAAGAAAGAGATCAGATTGTTACTGTGTCTGTGTAGAAAGAAGTAGACATAGGAGACTCCATTTTGTTCTGTACTAAGAAAAATTCTTCTGCCTTGGGATGCTGTTAATCTATAACCTTACCCTGAACCCCATGCTCTCTGAAACATGTGCTGTGCCAACTCAGGGTTAAATGGATTAAGGGCGGTGCAAGATGTGCTTTGTTAAACAGATGCCTGAAGGCAGCATGCTCGTTAAGTGTCATCACCACTCCCTAATCTCAAGGACCCAGGGACACAAACACTGCGGAAGGCCACAGGGACCTCTGCCTAGGAAAACCAGAGACCTTTGTTCACGTGTTTATCTGCTGACCTTCTCTCCACTATTATCCTATGATCCTGCCACATCCGCCTCTCCGAGAAACACCCAAGAATGATCAATAAATAAAAAAATAGCTTAAAAAGAGTCACAGATCTACATATAAGAACTAAAATTACAGGCAGGGTGCAGTGGCTCACGCCTGTAATCCCAGCACTTTGGGAGGCTGAGGTGGGCAGATCACAAGGTCAGGACTTCAAGACCAGCCTGGCCAATGTGGTAAAACCCCATCTCTACTAAAAATACAAAAATTAGCCAGGCATGGTGGCGTGCGCCTATAGTCCCAGGTACTTGGGAGGCTGAGGCATAAGAATTGCTTGAACCCGGGAGGCGGAGATTGCAGTTAGCTGAGCTCATGCCACTGTACTCCAGCCTGGGCAACCAAGTGAGACTCCATTCCAAAAAAATTAAAAACCTAAAATTACAACATGTTTAGAAGAAAATAATCCTGTGACCCTGGATTATGTGGAGTCCTAATTAGGGAAAAGGAATCAGGCTGGTGGGATTGAGGGAAAGCAACAAGAAAAAGCAGATAAGCTATAAGTTTTCCTTTCTTCATGGTCCAGGACACACAGCCCTCCTGAGCAAATAACTCACAATCTTCCTGCACCCAGCTATCACCAGACCCTCAGCTGATAGAAAAATGCAATTTAGTTCACTGCAACGTTGGTGTTATCAGTATACACAAAGCCCTCTTCAGTACACAGCACAAGCGCCATCCTATAAAATCCCCAGCAGGCCTTTGTTTCCTTGCAGTTACCTCCACACTTGCTAACTTGCCCATTGCTTCCTTGCAACATATTTTCCTACTTTCTCTAATAAATCAGCCTTTCTTAACCTACAACTGTCTTGGTAAATTCTTTGAACCATCACGCCACCAGCCCCAGATAGTCACCACTCACCCATGACATTTTGGTGGCCCATATAAGGACTCTCTCTCCTTACAGGGAATCCTCTCCATTCTCTTTCCCAACTTGTGATCCTTGGTGGCCAACATCTGAGCACAGAGACAACTAAAGGTCTCTGGCCAGACCTACACTCCAGTGGGACTGACAGGTGTCCATGTGGAAGCGTTTGACCCACCACCAGGTTCAGGTGAAGGACCTAAATTTACTTTCACTTTTCAGTCTCCCAGCAGCTGGCTTCTAGTATCCGACAATTGATGGCAACTGGCCAGGGCCACTCTCTGGTGTTGTCTGAAGGCCAAAGGGTGAATAGGGCTGAGTGCCCTGCCCAACAGGAAGGAAAGCTCTCTCCTATCTTTTCTGGTCAAAAGTCCCTAAACCCTACGTGTGACACAACTGACAGCAGAAGCTCGTTCAGAGCAAATTCACACGCATTTTGGGTGACTTGTACCCTCTCTTTCTCGCTCTGAATTATCCATCTTGTTCAGGACTTTGCTAAATCAGGTGATCCAGACAGCCTCAGAACAATGAGTCTTCCCTTATCCACCCGCTCTTCTGACTGGCACCAGGCTGAGTTCTTCCTTTACCCTTTTTCCTCATACCTGGGCTGATCACCCAGTGTCAGTACCTGGACTGGCCACCGATTGTAAAGCCCCTGAGCAGCCGAGAGGTCTTTTCTAACGGTGGGAGGCCCCTTTAGAAAGTGTACCCTGAGTCCCTCAGCAGACATAAGTGGAGCCCTTTTCATCTTGGCAGGATATCCAGAGAGAATGCGCGGTTCAAATAGCCCCAAGCAGCATGTTTTCCAGTCCCATCATGGGATAAACCCCATCTATTCCTTTAGCCTCACCTCTAGGCTGCATTCTAAAACACTGGAGAAATTTAACCTTTAGACTCTCAAGAAGAAACGTCTAATTTTCTTGTGTAATACAGCATAGCCCCTGTGCAGAAAATCCTCAAATTAGCCTCCTCAGTCTTTCATAGCCAAAAGCAGAATAAGGAGGACAGGGCTAAAAAGAAAGAAAACCATAGGGACAAAAGGCAGGCTCAGCTCTTGGCTGCTTTACAAGCCCTCAGCCCCCTCCAGGTTTCCCTAAGAACACTCCTCCAAATAACTGTCATTGGTACAAAAGGCTAGGCCACTAACAGGCAAACTGCCCTAATGGGATAAATGGGAAAAAAACCCACATGGCTTACCCCAACCCATAAGCTCGGCCGCTGGAAAAGGGACTGCACTGAGGACCGAAGGGCCCCTGGAACAGAATCCTGACCCCTGATGGCCTTAAGCTGAAGGGGCTCTCTGCTCCCGCTGGAGACAGCTCACTTTAACTGGTGGCTTGTGGAGGTAGGAGGAATTCATCCCATACTGTGTAGGTCTGGGGTGCTAAGGCTCTCCCTGATAGGAAATGAGCGAGAGGGGTAGGGATGCTGCCCTGCACTGTCCAGTGGCTGCAGGCTCAAAAGCCATCCTGTAAAGCTTAACCTTTTCCTCTATTCCTTTCTTTTCTTTTTCTCTTTTTCTGTTCAATCCAGGAGTCTAACCTTAAATGGGAAAAAACAGTTTGTAACATCCTAGCCCGATTTTATTGTTCTCTTTAAAACTCCAGCTGCTTACATATTATGCTGTTTTTGTGCACATTTTAAACTAATGGGCAAATTACAAAAAAAAAAAAATTCAGAGCTCAAATATTTAACTTGCACTACAGAGTTAAACAGTCTTCTAAAGCTCTCGATTTTCCTTTTTTTTCTTCCTGCTTTAGAACTGCTGTTACTAAGCTGCTGCTGCTGAGATAAGACTCATTATTTATGGTCTAACTAGAATGTAAACACTGGAAACTCTTTTAAAGTTAAGAAAAAAAAAGGTTAAAGAAGTTTTGTTAAACCAAACAACCTAGAATTTTTTAACCTCCCTTAAAGTTGATGGAAATAAATCCAGCACCTCTTTTAAATCTGTTTTGTCTTGTTTTGAGACAGAGTCTCTGTCACCCAGGCTGGACTGCAGTGGCGCCATCTCAGCTCACTGCAACCTCCACCTCCTGAGTTCAAGCGATTCTCCTGCCTCAGCCTCCTGAGTAGCTGTGATTACAGGCATGTGCCACCAAGCCCGGCTAATTTTTGTATTTTTAGTAGAGATGGGATTTCACCATGTTGGCCAGGCTGGTCTCGAACTCCTGGCTGCAAGTGCTCCATCAGCGTCAGCCTCCCAAAGTGCTGGAATTACAGGCATGAGCCACCGTGCTGGGCTAAATCTTCTTAAAGCGAACTCTTTGCATTCAGTTCTACCACAGGATCTCAGTAATTCTCCAACTGCCTGTTAAGCAGCTTCACCCTCTTGATATTAATGCTTTTATAAGGGAGATAGTACACGATTGCTATTTGCAGAGGAACCTCCAAAACTATCACCCAGATGAAACTTCTTTATATTTGTCCTAGTGATGTTATTTACCCCCACCACAACTTCAATGTGCTGAAGTACTAGTATTTAACTGTTTTTCTCATACTCTTTACAGCCCATCTTCTTTCCTGCCTTCCTAAGTTTACCATATATTGTCATTTTCCTTAAATATGATTCTGTTTTTACTCTATCATAGCTAGCTACTGCCTCAATGGCTGCACCCAAGCACCCACTCTACCCAGTAATATCTCAAGTTGCTAACGTAACACACAATACTGACTGCTGAATATGCCCACACAAGCAGGCACTTGAGGATGACATTACACTCCTTCCTAGCTGTTGCACTATCTATAGAAGAAATTGTTAACATACAAGCCCAATAGTCTGGATTCGACTACACCACTTACACACACACCAAAAACGCAGGTTTAAGAGGGGGACCTAGGCCAATGGATGCCTCATGGCAATCATCCACCATGACAAAGTGGATCGGGAAGGCATCAGAGATGGCCGTAAGGCAAACCTCTGCATTAGAAACTCCAAGGGGTTCGGCCCTTTCCTAGGGGCTTTAACACAAGTGCATTGCAATTCTGCCCTGAACTATAATCAGGTACACCAGGAACAGGTGCCATATGACGACTCTGATCAGCTCACTGTGGACGCCCACAGGCTTTCTCTATTGCGGGGAAACAACAAAGTTAATGCCTGCAAGATTGATGATGATGACTTTATGCCTATAAACAATTCAGCAACGGGGATGGAATATATAGGAATAGGGGTCAAGACTAGACAACTCCTCATCCTCACTAATACATCTACATCTTTTTCTCAATTTTCCCTTATCCCATTAATATTTAGAAATCTTTATCTGTCAGACCCCACTTCTCCCACCTGTAATAATGCTCATAGGAGTTCATTTGTACCATTCATTGTTAATGCAATATCTCATTTTGTGTCTTCTAGAATACAACAATTTCAAACCAAAATGTTACTGCAGCAATGGTATCAGCCATTAAGGGTACTCCATTAACTCTCCTTTAAACACAGCAGGACAAAATTTTAGGCTGCTAAATAAATGCTGTTCCCCCATAGTCCCACAGTCACCCTGCTCAATTCAAGTCCCAACTCCGGGGTTTAGGCCCATATAACCTCCTAACAGGCCAGTAATCCTAGGTAGGGCCAACTCTATGCCCCTGGTCAGCAGGAAGCAGTTGGAAGATGAGACCTTCACCCACATGACAAAGATTTGTCACTATTGCTCTGTCAGCAAGAAAATGTAGAGTCTTAATTAGGGAAAAGGAGTCAGGCTGGTGGGACTAAGGGAAAGCAAAAAGAGAAGGCAGATAAGCTGTAAGTTTGCCTTTCTTCATGGTGCAGGACACGTAGCCCTCTTGGGCAAATAACTCACAGTCTTCCTGCACCTATCAACAGACCCTCGGCTGACAGAAAACTGCAGGTTAGCTCACTGGAACCTTGGTGTTATCAATACTGCACAAAGACCCCTTCAGCACACAGCACAAGCATCACCCTGTAAAATCCCCAGCAAGCCTTTGTCTCCTTGTAGTTAGCTTCTCTCTTGCAAACTTGCCTGTTGCTTCCTTGCAATGTATCTTCCTACTTTCTCTAATACATCTGCCTTTCTTTACCTGCAACTGTCTTGGTAAACTCTTTTTACCACACCACCAGCCCCAGATAGTTACTGCTCACCCATGACAGATTAGACTGAGTCCTTCAAAAGCCTAATGCATAAAGAAAAATCTGATAAATTAAACTGCAGAAACATTTAAAAAATGTTTGCTCTTAAGAAGACATCACTTAGAAAATGAAAAGAAAAATCAGACTAGAAAAAATATTTGCAAATCATATACCTGATCAAGGACTTGTATCTAGAATATATAAAGGCCTCTCATAACGCAATGATAAGTACACAATTCAATTAAAATATGGGTAAAATATTTGAACAAACATTTCACCGAGGAAGATATACAAACTGTTAACAAGCACACGAGTAGATGCTTGACATCATTAGTCATTAGAGAAATGCAAATTAAAGCCATAATGAGCTACCACTGGAATAGCTATAATTAGGTAAGACGTTGGTAAATTACAGAACCACCTGTTTCTGTATAATAAAGTTTTATTGCAATACAGCCCTCCCATTTATTTATAATGTATGGTCTATGCCTGCTTTTACACTATCATGGCAGAATTGAGTAGCTGCTAGAGACCACAGTGGTCTGCACATTCTAAAATATTTACTATCTGACCTTTCACAGAAAAAGTGACAAGTATTGGTGAGGTTGTGGTAGGTAAATCATACCTCAACACTGCTCATGGTGTGTCCAGAATTGGTGCGTTCTTGGTCTCACTGACTTCAAGAATGAAGCCGCGGACCCTCGCGGTGAGTGGTACAGCTCTTAAGGTGGCGCGTCTGGAGTTTGTTCCTTTTGATATTTGGATGTGTTCGGAGTTTCTTCCTTCTGGTGGGTTCGGGGTCTCGCTGGCTCAGGAGTAAAGCTGCAGACCATTGCGGTGAGTGTTATAGCTCTTAAGGCAGCGCACCTGGAGTTGTTCGTCCTCCTGGTGGGCTCCTGGTCTCGCTGGCTTCAAGAGTGAAGCTGCAGACTTTTGCGGTGAGTGTTACAGCTCATAAAAGCAGTGTGGACCCAAAGAGTGAGCAGCAGCAAGATTTAAAGCAAAGAGTGAAAGAACAAAGCTTCCACAATGTGTAAGGGCACCCGAGCGGGTTGCCACTGCTGGCTGGGGCAGCCTGCTTTTATTCTCTTATCTGGCCCCACCCACGTCCTGCTGATTGGTAGAGCCCAGTGGTCTGTTTTGACAGGGCGCTGATTGGTGCATTTACAATCCCCGAGCTAGACACAAAGGTTCTCCACGTCTCCATCAGATTAGTTAGATACAAAGTATCCACAAAAAGGTTCTCCAAGGCCCCACCAGAGCAGCTAGATACAGAGTGTGGATTGGTGCACTCACAAACCCTGAGCTAAACACAGGGTGCTGATTGGTGTGTTTACAAACCTTGAGCTAGATACAGAGTGCCAACTGGTGTATTTACAATCCCTGAGCTAGACATAAATGTTCTCCAAGACCCCACCAGAGCAGCTAGATACAGAGTGTCGATTGGTGCACTCATAAACCCTGAGCTAGACACAGGGTGCTGATTGGTGTGTTTACAAACCTTGAGCTAGATACACAGTGCCGATTGGTGTATTTACAATCCCTGAGCTAGACACAGGGTGCTCCAAGGCCCCACCACAGTAGCTAGATACAGAGTGCCGACTGGTGTATTTACAATCCCTGAGCTAGACATAAAGGTTCTCCATGTCCCCACCAGACTCAAGAGCCCAGCTGGCTTCACCCAGTGGATCCCGCACCGGGGCTGCAGGTGGAGCTGCCTGCCAGTCCCGCGCCATGTGCTCGCACTCCTCAGCCCTTGGGTGATCGATGGGACTGGGCGCTGTGGAGCAGGGGGCGGTGCTCGTCGGGGAGGCTTGGGCTGCACAGGAGCCCACGGAGGCGGGGGAAGGCTCAGGCATGGCGGGCTGCAGTCCCGAGGCCTGCCCCGCGGGAAGGCAGCTAAGGCCCGGCGAAAAATCGAGCGCAGCGCCGGTGGGCTGGCACTGCTGGGGGACCCAGTACACCCTCCGCAGCCGCTGGCGCGGGTGCTAAGTCCCTCATTGCCCGGGGCCGGCAGGGCCGGCTGGCTGCTCGGAGTGCGGGGCCCGCCAAGCCCACGCCTACCCGGAACTCCAGCTGGCCCGCAAGCGCCGCACGCAGCCCCAGTTCCTGCTCGCGCCTCTCCCTCCACACCTCCCTGCAAGCTGAGGGAGTGGGCTCCGGCCTTGGCCAGCCTAGAAAGGGGCTCCCACAGTGCAGCGGTGGGCTGAAGGGCTCCTCAAGTGCCGCCAAAGTGGGAGCCCAGGCAGAGGAGGCGCCGAGAGCGAGCGAGGGCTGTGAGGACTGCCAGCACGCTGTCACCTCTCAATGGGAATGTGAAATAACAGTCTGGTGGCGTTTTAAAAGGTTAATCACAAATTTACCATATTACCCAGCCATTCCATTCCTAGGTAATAAAGAGAAATGAAATTATATGTCCACATGGACTTGCACAGGGATGTTCACAGCAGCATTATTCATACAGCCAAAAAGTGGAAAGAACCAAATGTTAATCTACTGGTAAACAGACAAGTGAAATGCAGTCTATCTATACAATAGAATACTATTAAGAAATAAAAGGGCCTGGCGCAGTGGCTCACACCTGTAATCCCAGCACTTTGGGAGGCCGAGACGGGTGGATCACAATGTCAGGAGATCAAGACCATCCTGGCTAACATGGTGAAACCCTGTCTCTACCAAAAATACAAAAAAAATTAGCCGGGTGTGGTGGTGGGCCCTGCAGTCCCAGCTACGTGGGAGGCTGAGGCAGGAGAATGGTGTGAACCTAGGAGGTGGAGCTTGCAGTGAGCTGAGATCACGCCACTGCACTACAGCCTGGGCAACAGAGCGACACTCTGTCTCAACAACAACAAAAAAAGAAATGATATATTGATACATGCCACAACATGGATGACCTCAAAACCAGTACATTGAATGAAAGAAGCCCGATGCAAAAGATCAGATATTATATGATTTCATGTATATGAAATGTCCAGACGAAGCATTAAACCTAGAGACAGAAAGCAGATTAGCAGTTGCCTGAACCTATGGGTAGGAATAGGGATTGGTTACAAATAAACAAAAGCAGGGGATTTTTGGGGGGTGATCAAAATGTTCTAAAACTTGATTGTGATGGTGGTTACACAACCCTATAAATATACTAAAAATCATTAAATTATAACACGTAACATGTGTAAATATTGTGGTATGTAAACTGTGCCTCAACAAAGCTGTTTTAAGAAAGGCTATAAAAATTACATAACTTTCTAACTGTAAATTACAAAGAGAGAATCTGGTTCTTAAAGGAAAAATATCAAAGCAATGACATAGACAAGCTCACACTAAGCCTAAAGTGGGTTGGGGTATAAATATACCATATAAAAAACAAGAAGAGATTAAACCACAAATGTGATTTCCCCCATTATAATAAGATAGTTTGTACAATTCTTTCCTGATGAATGTGTAAGTCTTGAATCAGACATGTTTTGAGAAAATATGAATTACCAAAATTGGTTCAAGAAGAACCATAAAATCAGAAGTTAAAAAAAAAAAACTTTGAAAAACAAGTACTGAAAGAAACATTCCATAAAAAGGCACCAGACCAAAGATTTTTATGTGCAAGTCCTTTCGAATTTTCAAGGAACAGTCAGTCCCAAATATTCATCAAATGTCTACGAGGTTATTGGACCCTGTGCCGGGCACTGAGCTGCAACAGTGTTCACAGTTGGGCATTCTCCACGCTCTCGCGGCACTCACAGTTGAAGAGGGAGGGGCAAATGTTAATCAAAGGTACCACCTCTAGGCCCAATTATTAACTTAGGCTATGACCTAGAGAAAAGGGCCCCAATTCTCCAGAAAGTTGTAAGATATGTTCTTGACATAGATTGGAGGTTTGGAGAGTTTTCCATGACCTAGGGATGCTGTGCTGAGATCTGCCAGGGACTAAGCATTTCATAGAGGCTCCCATAAAGGCCCTGCCTGGGTCAAGGGGGAACATACCATGTTAGAAGGGTCACTATGGCTGAATTTCAGGGAGCAAGTGGGGAGTGTGGCACAATGAGACTAGAGATGTAGGCTGTGATAAGAAGACAGAGACTGGCAGGTCATCTTAAGGATTTGGGGGTTTTAGTCAAAGACTGATAGGAGATGATTAAAGCCTTTAAATGCATTAAAGCAGAACAAAAAGACATTTAAAAAAGAAAAGAAACATGATCAGATTTGTGTTTTGAAAATATCCCTCAAGCAATAGTATGGACAATGGACAGGAGATGGGCCGAGGGTAGATGTAAGGGAATAGGTTTGAAGGCTACAATAAGAGTCCTGGTGACAAAGAATCATGGCTTGGATAGCAGAGGAGATTTAAGAGATGATGCAGGAGTTAAGCAGGCTTGGAAATGGATTAGATACGTGGTTAAGGAGAGAGAGGTGCATGGCGGGCTATAAGCAACTGGATAGATGGTGGTAGTGTTATTCACTGAAATAGAAAACACAGAAAGAGAACCAAGTTTTGAGGGAAAGATGATTTGTTTTCTGAGTAGAGACTGAGGTGCTTTGGGGGTGATGAAGGATAATGCTGAGCGAACAGTTTCAAATGTAGGTGAATTGTTCTGGGAAGACGTCTGGGTTGGATGAAGAAACTGTCAACTGCAAATTTACTGAGAGGCTGAGTGAGAACTCTGAGAAAGATTAGATTGAAAAGAGAAGAAGACTTTAAAGAGCTCATCACTGAAATGACTGTAGAGGAGAAAGAACAGGCAAAGGAATGAGAAGGAAGGATTGGGGAGGTAGAAGAATGTAGTGTGGTGGAATTAAAAGGAAGAGTGTTTCAGAGAGGGAGAGGTCAACAGTGTCAAATGCTGCCCAGAAGTCACGGCATCCTTTAGATATAACAATGTGTAGGTTGTATTCCTTATCTATTGCTGTGTAACAAATTACCCTAAACTTCAGCACCTTACAACAACAAATATATATTAACTGATTGCTGTGGTTTGAATGCGTCCCCTCCAAAATTCAGGTGTTGCCAATGTGACAGTATGAAGGGGTGGGGTGTTTATGAGATGATTAGGCCATGAAGTTTCCTCTCTCATTAATGGGATTGAGGCCCTTATAAAGGAGGCTTCTTGCAGCATTTGCTTAGCTCTCTCTTCTCCTCTTCAACCATGTGAGGACACAGTATTCCTCTCTCCCAGAGGATGCAGCAAGAAGGCCCTCACCACGTACCCGTGCTGGCACCTTGATCTTGGATTTCCCAGCCTCCAGAAACAGTGAGGAAATGAATTTCTGTTCTTTATAAATGACCCAGTCTTAGGTATTCTGTCACAGAAGCATGAACAGATTAAGATACTCATGCAGTTTCTGAAACTGAAGGATCCAGGAGCTGCTCAGCTGAGTGATTTGGGCCCAGTGTCTCATGAGGCTGCAGCCATCTAAAAGGCCAGTAGGCCTGGAGGATCCTCATCCACCAAGGCCCACTCACACCTGGCTCTCCCAGAGTAGGCAATCTATGCAGGAGAGAAACGTTGAAGTCACATTGCCTTTTTCAACCCAGACTTGGAAATCACCCACCATCACTTCTGACACATTCTATTTATCATACGCAAGTCAACCAAGTACAACCCACAATTAAAGGGAGGGAAATTAGACCTGCCTTTTGAAGGAGGGACTTCTAAGGAATTTGTGGACACGTTTTAAAACCACCACAGAGGTCAGGGGACCTGAGTGAGCACTATCTCTGCTGACTAATGAGGAGTGGGAGCTAGATTGGGGTGGGTTGAGAAGTGAATATGAGGCTAGAAAATGGAGCCTGCTAATGTAGATGACTCTCTCAGGAAGTGTGTGAAGGAGAGAAAATTGATTAGAATAGTGTTGAGGCCTGATATGTTGGTAATCATTAGTCTGCAGGAATTAGAAGGAAATCCCAGAAAAATGGAGAGCAAATGGTGTCAGATTGAAGGAGAAAATCATAATCTAAAACATCCAGAGGAGAAAATCGCAACAAAAGGTAAGATCAACTTGATGGATCTCCAACCTCAGGAGCAGCAGATATGAGGAAACAGGATTGAGCCCTGGGCACCTAAGAGTAACCTTCTCCAGCGTTTGCAAAGCAACTGGCAGCAGAAGCTTAAGAGCAGTAAGTGCGAGTGTGAGCATCTGAGCCAGAGAGGCAGGGCGTTGCAGTGCCCATGGTAACTATGTGGTTTCCCCCAACACACACACATGCCTGTCCCAGAAGACTGGATGCTAACAAACCCTATCCCATTGCAAGTCCAAATTCTTTCCTGAAATTACTGGCAACAAGGTGCTATGAAAAAATCCAGCACTCACATGTGAGCTAACAGGGAACTTCAAAAATTAAGACAAACACCCAACCAAGAATGACAAAATATTTGAGGAAAACTCTAACACTAAAAATGAGAAACACCACCCCGCACGAAGGAGAGAAGTCACATCTAAGGAAATAGAACTAATAGAGCAAGCAACATGACTCACTCTGAGGGGGAAGAAACTGGCTCCGAATATCTTATACCTGAGCCCCAGCTTTGACATTCACAAGCCAAGAATGTATCTTTTTGTATTCTGGTTCCACTGTGACAATCTTCTTTAAGGCAAAGGATGACTCCGTCTAGTTATCTGAATGGTGAAAGAGTTACATACTGGATAAAAACAGGTGGGCTTAAATATCAATATTTTCCCAGCACATCAAAGAATTGTTATGTATGTTATAATATTATGTAACCAACGACTCAAGATGAAAGGCACTAAAAGGGACAAATGGTGATATTTCATACCAGTAAAATAACAATTAACTTGAATTTTTATATATCTCACATAAGCGCTTGTAAATATATAAATCAAAATAAAATAGAAATATCAGACTTCTGATAAGATGATGAAATGAAATTGTATTAGCAATTTTCTCCCTCAATACCTTACCAAATGAGCAATAAGTGGTAGATGCACTCACACACACACGCGTGTGAGCGCACACACACACACGTTGAACACGCACATTATCAGCATCGCCAAACTAGATCGGTAGTTAAGAAGAGAGTCTAGAGCAAAAGGAGGTCCAACTTAGCAACACTGCAGCCTCAACCCCCAGTAGCCTTACTGGAGAACTCACAAAACCCTGAAAATACTTGCTAACGTCATCAAACCTGGAGTGATCTAACCTGAATGGGAATCCTTATCTTTTACTTCTTCTAGGTAGTACACATGGATCCTAGAAAAGAACAGGGGTTGGGAGGAAGTGGGGATGATTAACAGGTACAAAAAGAGTAGTTAGAATGAATAAGACCTAGTATTTGCTAGCATAACGGGGGGACTATAGCCAAAAATCATTTAATTGTACATTTTTACATAAGAGTATAATTGGAGAGTTTGTAACACAAAGGATAAATGCTTGAGGTTTACCCCCATTTACCCTGATGTGATTGTTACACATTGCATGCCTGTATCAAAGAGTCTGATGCAACCCATAAATATATGCACCTATGTACCCACAAAAACTTTTTTTTTTTTCTGAGACGGAATCTGGCTCTTGTCACCCAGGCTGGAGTGCAGTGGTGCAATCTTGGCTCACTGCAACCTCCACTTCCCAGGTTTAAGCGATTCTCCTGCCTCAGCCTCCCAAGTAGCTGGGATTACAGGCACCCGCCACCACGCCCAGCTAATTTTTGTATTTTTGTATTTTTAGTAGAGACGAGGTTTCACCACGTTAGCCAGGCTAGTCTTGAACTCCTAACCTCAGGTGATCCATCCACCTCGGCCTCCCTAACTGCTGGGATTACAGCTACCACGCCTGGCCAGAAAAATATTTTTAAAGAGTAGGGTAGGTAAAAATGAAACTGACTCTCAGACAAAAGGAAAAATTTCAAAACTACCCACTGAATTGGGAAAATGTTCCAAAGAAGAAGAAATCCAAATTGACAAACTTTAAAAAGATTGTTTTAAAGCCCACTGACTGAAGGCCATCAGGAACATTTCTATAGTAGAAAATAGTTTGGTTTATTTACCTTGCTGCAGGAGCGGGGAAAGCACTCCAAAGGAACTGTAGAGGTCTCAACAAGGAATTGAAAGGGGCTTCTCATAGGATTTGGGCTTGTACTAGATTATTTCAAGAAAAGCTGGAGAAGTGAGGATTAGCTGTGAGTTGAGGGTTGTTAATAAGTTAGGGCAATGCAGTGGCTGGGATATCTTAATTCTTATCTAGGAAGTAGGACTAAGGTAAGACTACAGTCGTCATTGGTAAATGAGCAGCAGTCACTCCAGTCAGAAATGGAGAATGTTTTATTGTTTCCATGGTTGCAAAATGGCTTTTCTCTATTTTGTTCCAGACATGGTCATGCAGTAGCCTTGTCTATATCCCATTTATATTCTAGAAAGTATTCTTTATGTTTGTTTGGGAACACCATAACCTGACTGCTAGCTGCCAAAAAGGAAGTGTTACACTTTCTCAAGATAATCAATCTCACTAGCAGTAAGGTAAATACAAATTATAGCAGCAAATACCTCTTTGCACACATCAGATTGACAAAAATAAAAGTAGTAACACCCATTACCAAGGGAAATGTAAGGTAATCATTTTTCTCATACATTGATAATATAGGGTGAATTATTACAGCTTTATAAAATTATTATTGTGGAGAATATCTAAAAGGAAGACAGTGGTATAATGGACTCTCATTATACCAGCTCCAACAATTGTCAATTCAAGGCCATTCATTTTATCCCTGTTTCCATCCACTTGTCTCTCCCCGATACCTTTCTGAAGCAAATTATTTTATCCATAAATATTTCAGAATGTCTCTTGACCATTATTACATCTAAAAATAGAAAACCAAAAAGTCCTTAATTTAGTGAAACATCTACGCAGTGTTCAAATTTTTTTTTAAGAGACGGGGTCTTGCTCCCTGCCCAGGCTGGAGCGCAGTAGCACAATCATAGCTCACTGCAGCCTCGATCTCCTGGGCTCAAGTGATCTTCCTACCTCAGCCTCCCCAGGACCTGGGATTACAGGCATGAGCCACCACACCTGACGCTGTGTTCAAATTTCCAACTGTCTTGTAAATGTCATACTTTTTCTATTTTGTTTGAACTGAGATCCAAATAAGGTCCATACATTGATACTGGGTGATATGACCTACAACCTTTTAAAGTAAGTAACATGGCCTTATACACTAAAACCAAAAATATACATACCCTTTGATCTAGTGATCCTAGTCCTAACAATGTAAGGTCGAATCTGAGACTTACTGTGACACTGTAATGACAAAAAACATGAAAACAGCTTGAATGACCATCAATGGGGAAAAAGTAAATAAACATGTACCTCTACAGTAGGAATAACTATGTCACTATTTAAAACAAGTAGGATCTGTAGTGTATTGATCTGGTGGCTGTCCGGATGAATTAAGCAAAAAAAAAGTGGTTAAGAAATATAGTTTATGATCTCACTTTAGTAAAAGCAAATGACAAATTCACAATCTCTAACATATATTTTATATATTTCTATGTGGTGTACATGTGTCTGTATATCTTTGGAGAGGCTTACATGATTATGGAGAAATATGTACAGGCTTACATACCTGGGCAAAACATTTGCCTGGTGATGGTGGTCACGATGGTGGTCAACAAAGAATGTATAAGAAGAGCATAAAGGGAGATAACAAACAGATTTGCAAAATTGGAAAATATTCACAGTATGCTAAGTGAAATGTATAAATCCAAAGTCTAACCACAATATTGTTAAAATATGTAAAACTGAATATGTAATGGTAACTAGGACAAAGGACAACTTAATGTGAGTAGTAGATTTTTGTCTTGGATGTCTTTTTTCACAAGAAAGTAACATTGGAACAAAGAAAAAATAGCATTTTATATATCGTTATTAATTAAATGCATATTAGAACAAAACAAGAGAGCCCACCAACTTTTGTCTATTTGATTTTGTCAATAACATGAATGCAGAAAATGTTCAGATAATTATTCTGTACAAAATGGTGTTAATAACTTCAGTTCTTTGCTACCTCAAGGTAGACCTCATACTTGGTCAAAACCACCTCCAAACAATCCTGGAATGCCTGGTTTTATGCAGTTACCCAGTAACTCCTGTAAAACTAAGGTGGACATTGTGGTCATTAATGCAATTTGGCTTGAATTGGTGTCCTAATCCAATTATTACTCAAATCAGAAATGTGAAACAATGTCATTGTTTCCTACTACACTTGCTGCTAATGAACAAGTTGTACAAAGACAGGATTTGTTCAACTCATCCTCCCTCAAATCATTCCCTACATTCTTCTAATTTAAAGGATTGCTTTTGCCCAGGTTCTTTTGAGCTCTGCTTGCCCTGGAGTCCACCTGCCCCATGAGTAAACTGGCTCAATTCTCCCACTACGTCCCTCCACTTAGTTAAAATTCATGAACTACCATAGTGCCTTAAAACATTATGCACCTGGCCAGGCGCGGTGGCTAACGCCTGTAATCCCAGCACTTTGGGAGGCCAAGGCAGGCGGATCACGAGGTCAGGAGATCGAGACCATCCTGGCTAACACGGTAAAACCCTGTCTCTGCTAAAAATACAAAAAATTAGCCAGGTGTGGTGGCGAGCACCTGTAGTCCCAGCTACTTGGGAGGCTGAGACAGGAGAATGGCGTGAACCGGGGAGGCGGAGCTTGCAGTGAGCCGAGATGGTGCCACTGCACTCCAGCCTGGGGGACAGAGCAAGATCCGTCTCAAAAAAAAAAGACAAAAACATTATGCACCAATGCAGGCAACTATAAACAGAAATATAAAGCCAATGTTGGAGTTGTACGGTCATAAAATGATTCAGAATGTGCTTATAATTTTTAATACTATTGCCCACCTGAAAATTACAAAATTACTTTTTCTTTTTTTTTTTTTTTAACCCTAGAATTTGCAGACTCCCAGGAGGTCTGGGCACTCAAATAGAGAAAGAGAGTTAGGATTTTACAAAGCTTATTGATGAAAGCAGGTAGGATGATATCATCAATTAGCCTGCTAACTAAACTCTAATTTAGAGCTGACTGGCCTTGCAATTGGGAGTAACTGTTTAGTTCCTTTCTTTCCTACTTCCTCACTTGGACCATTCCCCTATCACACAATGCTATTTGGAACATTTGGACAAATAATTCAACTTTAAATCAGCAATTCCACTTCTAGAAATTTAACTTAAACAGATAGATATCTGGTCCAAAGTACAAAGATGTATGTGCAAGAATGTTTAAAGCAGCAAGATAATACTGTAAACATCCTAAATGTTCATTATTTGGTGTCTTGTTGAATATGCAAGCAATGTAATACTTTGTAAATGTTAGCTATTCATATAGATTTCACTGTTACTGAAAAAGATGAACAGCATAGGAGAAAAAAGTCAACGTATATGAACACAGTTTAAAGAAAAAGCTACAAATAGCCAATGAGCACTTTAAAAGTGTCATAACTTCACTCATAATGAAGTAAAGGCAATCAGGACAAGATACCAACCTTAAATTATTGGATTGGCAACAACTAAAAAGTCTGATAACCAGTGCTTGAAGAATTTGGGGAAATAAGCACTCCCAAGTGCTTTTGTTGATACGTTATTTGGTGCAACCTTTCTGGATGACAATTTGGGAATTTCTATCAATATGTAAAACACACATCTTCTAACCCAGTCCCCCATGCTTAAGAATTTCCCGGGTCAGGTGCAGTGGCTTACGCCTGTAATCCCAGCACTTCGGGAGGCCAAGGCAGGCAGATCACGAGGTCAGGAGATCGAGACCATCCTGGCTAACAGGATGAAAGCCCGTCTCTACTAAAAATACCAAAAAAAATTAGCCAGGCGTGGTGGCAGGCGCCTGTAATCCCAGCTACTCGGGAGGCTGAGGCAGGAGAATGGTGTGAGCTCGGGAGGCAGAGCTTGCAGTGAGCCAAGATGGTGCCACTGCACTCCAGCCTGGGTGACAGAATGAGACTCCGTCTCAAAAAAAAAAAAAAAAAGAATTTCCCTGCAGATATGGTGGCAAGACTTCTTAGAAGCTCAAAGATGTTGTTGTAACATAATTGGTAATAGTAATAACAAAAATACACAAAAACCCTAGAAACAACCAAAATATCCATGATAGAAAACCAATTAAATAAATTATGGCACAGCCTAACAAATGACTTTTTAATGTAAGCTGTTAAAAAGTGACAGATATGTTTACCCTGCAGTTAGGAAATAATGCCCATGATAAATTACAAAAAGCAAAGTAAATAACTGTACAGTGTGATTTTTAGGGTGTGTCAGAACAGATAAGTATGTGTAGTAAGTAAGTATGTTTTGAAGGATTTACAAGAAACTAATAAAGGTATTTAGTGTTAGGAAGAAGAACTAGGAAAGAGAGGGTGGCTTTCAACTTTCACTTTTCATTTTGTAAGTTTTGGTAGCAAGAATTTACTGAACTCACAAGATGTTTCTTTTAGTTTTACAAACTGTTCAATGAGGGATACCAAGAATGGGAGAACGTGGTATATTTTTTTTGCTTGCTTCTTTGTGGTTTTCTATATAAAGCAAATACGCTATTTTAAAATATGAGCCAATAGACAATATGGATACTATAGATCCATGTTCACTGACACAGAAAACCATAAGGACATATTAATTTAAGAAAACCAACTGTGATGCAATATGCATAGTCTGATCCCATTTATGTAAAAATTTTGCACATGTGAGTATCGGCCATTTAGAGATATCTAGAAAGATGTTATCAAAATATGATGGAGTTACACATTCTGCTTCGTAACCATTCTCAATTGCTTTAACTTTCTCAAATGAGGATTCTTCAAACATAGGGAATGAAACAAAATTTTTACAAAGGCCTTGATATCACAGCAAATTTGAAGATGCGAAGGAAGCAGGGAGAAAGTATAAGAAAATGATTTAAATAAAGTTATGTAAACTGAGAGGCCGCCTGCTGAAGCAATCCAGTGGAAAAGCTAAGAGTGCCCTGAAACTGGAAGATTAGACCTGGAATCCCACAGAAGGGACAGAATGTTCCCTAGAGCAGGGAGAAACTTGAGCTAGCTGGCTTTAGCATAAACAAAAGCGGGTCTGCAGGCACTGACCCTGCCATGTAATGAAAAATAGAAAAAAGAAAAACTATTTTAAAGATGAATAACCACCAAAAAAAAAAATCCCCATTAATAAGGCAGGAAGCTTTGTATTTAGAATGTTTTTACCACAAATGATGGTTTCAAATCTCAATAGCAGGCTGCGTGCGGTGGCTCACTCCTGTAATCCCAGCACTTTGGGAGGCCAAGGCAGGCGGATCACAAGGTCAGGAGTTCAAGACCAGACTGGTCAACACAGTGAAACCCCGTCTCTACTGAAAAAAAAAAAAAAATACAAAAATTAGCCGGGCATGGTGGCGTGCATGCCCAGCTACTCCCAGCTACTCGGGAGGCTGAGGCATGAGAATCGCTTGAACCCAGGAGGCGGAGGTTGTGGTGAGCCAAGATCGTGCCACTGCACTGCAGCCTGGGCGATAGAGTGAGACTTCGTCTCAAAAATAAACAACTCTATACCAGAGCAGATATGTTATTCGATAAAGCTAAAAATGTATTTAATTTTAGTAAGTACACATGAATTCAGGTAAATACACAGAAGCAGCTCTAGAGGAATAAACATAACAGCACTGAAAAGGGGGAATTGCGAATCTGGATGGGGGAAGTGGCAAAAGGGGCCTTTAGCCTTGTCTGTAATGCTTTTAAATTTTATAAAAGAAAACCATGCACATAGTGTGTTCTATTTTGGTAAAATAGACGTAACACAAAATTTACCATTATAACCATTTTAAATATACAATTCGGCGGCATTAGTTCATTCACAAAGTTGTGCAACCATCACCACCATCCATTTCCAGAACTCTTTGTCATCCCAAGCTGAAACTCAATACCCATTAAACAATAACTCCCCATTCTCCCCTTCCCCAACCCCTGAAAACCATTATTCCATTATCTGTCTCTGTGAATTTGCCTATTCTAGGTACTTCATAAACATGGAATTGTATGATATTTGTCCTTTTGTATCTGGCTTATTTCACTTAGCATAATATTCTCAAGGTTCATCCATGTGACATGTTATCAGAATTTAATTCCTTTCCATGGCTGAATATATTATTCTATTATATGTATATACCACTTTTTTTAATCCATTCATCTGCTGAGGAAGACCTGTTTCTACCTTTTGGCTATTACAAATAATGCTGCTGTGAAGATTTGCAGACGAGTACCTGTTTGAGTCCCGTTTTCAGTTTTTCTGGGCAAATATCTAGGAGTAGAATTGTTGAATCATACGGTAATTCTACATCTAACTTTTTGAGAAACTGCCAAACTATTTTTCACAGCTGCTTCTCCATTTTACATCCCTACCAGCAACGCACAGTGGTTCCAGTTTCTCCATACCCTTCCCAAATTTGTTTTCTGTTTTTTAAAAAAATAGCCATCCTAAATGGGTATAAAGTAGGATCTCAATGTGGTTTTGATTTGCATCTTCACACATTTTTTCATGTATGAATTTTTCATTAAAAATTATTTTAAAAGAAAAGAAACAATTTTTTCTTCATTAACCAACTAGTGATACCTCCTTAACTGCTAAGCTCTTTGAGAACAGAGGTAATAGCTGTCCTGCTCACTGCTTTATCCCCGACCCCTAACATAAGCCTAGCATCTAGCAGGTACTCACCAAATACAGTATTCACTGGATGCATAAAATACTACATTAGCCTCTCAATTTACATGAGACTAATGTATGGTTTGGGGGGAGTGAGTCTATGAAAAAGTGTCACCTTAAAAAAAATACACCAATTTCTGAAAAACATACAATCACTTTGGAAGTCTTGGGTAAACGGCACACTTCAAGACAAATCCAGGATGGCCAAGGAAACATAAGTGACATTACTTATAGTTTTAAGGAGGGCAACTTCACAGCCAGTATTCATCCCACCTGGGTTGCCAAGTAAGGGCAGGGTACTTTTAAGCTGTTCTCGTATTATACCACCAGGGGTCCTGAGTTTCCTGTATTTCAGGCAGGATGGCTGATGAGAAAGATACAATCTGAACACTCTTGTGTCTTGCCACAGTAGAGTAGGCCAGAGCTTGGCTAGAATCAGCAGCAGAGGCCAAAAGAAGTAGAGGGATGCAGGAGATGTTTAGGAGGTAAAACAGACAGGACTTGTTGAGGAAAGGGGAGAGATCAAGTGCAATGCTCAGGTTTTTCACTTCAGCAATTGCTGGCTGGTGGAGCCATCACCATAAGACACACAAAGAGAGCAGGCTTTTTTGTGGGTGTGGGGAGCATAAAGGTGAGTTTGGCTTTAGACATATTCAACCTGAGAGGCCTACGAGCTTCAGCAGATGTTTGGATGTATACAACTGGAGTTTTAAGGACAGGACTGGGCTGAGATAAACTCGTGGCAGCCATTGGCATAAAACCAATCACTGAAGCCAGGGAATAGTTGAGATTGTAGAGGGAAGAGGTCCCGTGTGAAAAGGTGGCCAATGTCAGGACTCTAAGGGACATCAAGAGTTTAAGGAGTGAGTAGAGGAGTAGGCGTCAGCTAAGGAGACTAAAAAAAAGTGGTGAGAGAAGTACAGCATCACAGAAACCTACAGAAGACAGTGTTTCAGCAAGCAGGTAGTCAGACACACCAAATGGTTGTGTATTTTGTTTCGTTTTGTTTTATTGAGACAGGGTCTCACCCTATTGCCCCGACTGGAGTGTAGGGGCAGTATCATAGCTCACTGCAGCCTCCAATTCCTGGGCTCAAGGGATCCTCCTGCCTCAGCTGCCTGAGTAGCTAGGACCACAGGCATGCGCTACCACACCTGGCTAATTTGTTTTTATTTTTGTAGAGACAGGGTCTTGCTATATTGCCCAGGCTAGTCTCAAACTCCTGGCCTCAAGCTATTCTCCCAACTCGGCCTCCCAAAGTGCTGGGATTACAGGTGTGAGAGATCACAACCCTAAATGTTTAATAGCTTTAGATGAAGACAACTTAATGAATCCTTTCACAAGGGTGACTTCACCCATTGGACCAGAATGTCTGAAATCTGCTGGGCATAAACTCCCCGTCCACCAGACCAGTGGTTCTCACAGTGTGGTCCCCAGACTAGCAGCATCCACATCACCTGGGCACTTGTTAGAAATGCAAATTTCAGGGCCCCACCCCCAAAATTCTTTTTCTCAATCAGAAAATCTGATGTGTGATTGTTAGTTCATTCTCGAATTGCTATAAAGAAATACCTGAGACTGAGTAATTTATAAAGAAAAGGGGTTTAATTGGCTCACGGTTGTGCAAGCAGTACAGGAAGCATAGTAGCATCTGCTTCTGGGGAGGTCTCAGGAACCTTACTATCAAGACGGAAGGCGAAGGGGGAGTGGACATCACATGGGGAAAGGGGCGAGGTGGGAGGTGCCACACACTTTTAAACAACCAGATCTCAAGAGAACTCGTTATCACAAGGACCGTACCAAAGGGATGGTACTAAACCATTCATAAGAAACCACCCCCATGATCCAATCACCTCCCACCAGTCCCCACCTCTAATATCGGGGATTACAATTCAACATGAGACTTGGGTGGGGACGCAGATCCAAACCATACCAGCAACCCAGCAATCTGTATTTTGTTGAGTTTTTTGTTTTTGTTTTTTTGAGATGGAGCCTTGCTCTGTCCCCCAGGCTGGAGTGCAATGGCACGATCTCGGCTCACTGCAACCTCCGCCTCCCAGATTCAAGCAATTCTCCTGCCTCAGCTTCCCAAGTAGCTGGGATTACAGGCGCCTGCCACCATGCCCAGCTAATTTTTGTATTTTTAGTAGAGACGAGGTGGGCCAGGCTGGTCTCGAACTCCTGACCTCAAGTGATCCACCCGCCTCGGCCTCCCAGAGTGCTGAGATTACAGGCGTGAGCCGCCGCACCCGGCCGCAATCTGTCTTAACAAACACTCTAGGGGATTCTGATGCTCACCAAAGTGTGAAAAACACTGCATTAGACAGTGCTTGGAGAGCACCTGATAACCATTCCTTTAGGAACAAATTCCCCTCCTATTAAACACATTATTCTTTGGATCTGTTAACATATTTTGCAAAACTTCTGGAGCCTGAGCAGCAGGATTTTGTCAATACCCCACATTTAGTGTACCAATAGGTCCTATCTTGATTTTAATGGTCCTGCCCTAAAACCAACCAACCAGCCAACTACCCACCGATTCCTCTACTGGGGACAACCTTTTTCACCTTTATAACTTCTGCTTATTCACAACATCTAATTATTCATGGCCTCTGCTACTTCATGGCTTCTTTTGTGCACCTTTTCAGCTTCTGATCCTGATACCAACTGAACAACTGTCTACGTCAAACTTGTTTAACTCCCTGTTTAACATTAAGAGATTTTTTTTTTCGCAACTCTTTTCCTTTAGGTCATCAGCTATCATTAGTGTATTTTATGTATGGCCCAACACAATTCTTCTTCCTGGGGAAGCCAAAAGATTGGACACCCCTGCTCTAAATCTCAGTTTAAACTCCTGAGAGACACATATTGTTGGTGAAATCGCAAACTGGTACAATTTAGGAGGGTAATTTGGCATCATTTATCAAAACTACAAAAACATGGCCTTTGCCCCAATAAGTCCGCTTTTAGGCATTTATCCTACAGATACACATGGGCGTGTGCACCAAAAAGTGGGGTCTCTCTCTCTCCCTTAGCTCGGCCAGAAGCCAGGTCACCTACCCTCGGTCACTCGGGGGCCAGGACCTCTCTCCCTGCCCCTCAGTCAAGGCCCTCTCAGTCCGGGAGGCGCTTCACACCTGGGCAGGGTGGGACTGGGCGCGCCTCACTTCACGCTTTCGTCGGTTGGAAGCAGGTGGGGAAGTCCCCGCGGCCTCGGCGTCTCGCACGCCTGGCCCCAACACCTGCCGAAGCCGGCTGCGACTCCATTTTTCTTTTTTTTTTTCCTCCTGGGAAACGGAGGACCCGCGCCGCCACGAAGCACAGCGACCCCGGCCCTGACCCCAGCCGCCCGCCGCCGGTGGGCGGGGCTTGGCGGCCCGGCGGGGCGGGGCTCGGGGCGGGGCCGGCGTGGCGGTGGCCCGGGTTGTAGCCGCCGCCGCTGCCGCCGCCCCGCCGCCGCCACCTCAGAAGCAGGAACCGAAGTCGTCGCCGCCGCCGCCACTGCCTGGGTCTTCGGTCGGGGCCCGCAGCCATGGAGGATTTCATCGTGATCTCGGACGACAGCGGCTCTGAGAGCTCCGGGGGCGCCCGCCCGGGCCGGTCGCGGAGGCCGCGCCGGGCCCTGTCGCGAACCTCCGGCGCGCTGCCCCGCCGGACCGTGGTGAGTGAGCGTCGCCTCGTTTGGGGGCGCGCGTCTTCGCGACCCTCGGCTGGGCCCGCCGCCCGCTTCCCGCCCCTGGCGCCTCACAGCTGCAGCCACTTCCCGCCTTGCCTCCTTCCGGGCCTCTCGGGCCCCGGGGAGCGCGGCGGGCCGGGGCAGGGGCCAGGGCAGGGACCGGGGAGGCCGGGCCTCCCAGGCTCAGCGCTGAAGCCCGAGAGGACTGCGGCTGGAAAGCGGCCGAGCACATGGACGAGCTCCTGGCGCGCCTGCTGCAGGGGCTGGGGTCTCAGGCCGGGGCCGCGGGCGTCCTCGGAGCCTCGGCGGGACGTGGGGGCTCGGGTGTACTGGCCGGGCCGATGCAGGAAAGCGGGAGCGCGTAATTCTTCGGCCTGTGGTGGACACAGATGTGTGCAGGGAGGTAACAGGAGCCCAGGCTGGGAGGGAGGGAAGCGCGGGCCTGGGCCAGATGGTGGCCGCGCTCCAGGGCCTGACTGCAGAGCGAGGGGCCCGATTTTGGAGTTGTACAGGAGGGCGATTTATTTCCTCAGCACTTACCCTGTACCAAGCCCTGAAGGAATAGGGAAGGAAACCTCGCGCGCTATTTCTGTTTCCCTCAGAACCCCTTCGTCTTTGTCGTTCATGAGGTGGTGAATTATCTGCCTTTCGAGAATCCTGCATCGATGTTTATTGAATCCCTACTATGAGCCAGATGTTGTAGGGGCCGGGGATACAACGGCGAACACAATATCCATGGTCCCCTCAGAAGGTGATACATCATCAGGTGGTTGTTGAGGACCTACTCAAGCGGTGGGAGGTGGAGCTTTCTCTCAGAAGGCTTCCAACGATCTCCCCAGCCTCCCAGAGCCATCCCCCGGAAACACAAGGATTATCAAGCTGATGTTATGTGTATAGATCATACAGTTTACCATGCTTCCTATGCAAATACTCGTTCAAGACGTTTCCTAGCTTCTGCTGCCCCTGTTCCCTTTCTAGCTGGTTTACAGTCCCTAAACCTCCATTGGGAACCCCTTCTGTGCCCGAGGTACAGTGCCAAGTGCTAGATGATCACTATAGAATGAATAGCATGCAAAACTAGTTAATATATATTATTTTTCAAGCAAGAGGGTTTCTCAGGACGTCTTAGAGACAAATTTAGTTGAGTTAGGCAGCTCATGAGGTAGTGAGAGAAGAGATTTCCAAGATAGAAATGACCCGACTTCATGAGTGAATGGATATATCTAGGGCTGTGGCTGAATGTATCGGACATAATAGATGCACAATAAGTATTTGTTGGATGAAGGAACGATTGAAAGAATATGGGGAGAGAGAATGGTTTAGATGGATGTTTGATAAGTATAAGAGAAGTGCATATAAAAGTAGCAGCAGGCTTGAGATGAAGGAGATGCTGAATTCAGGTTGGACCTGTTGGATTTACAGTGTTAATAGGAAATGTAGATGGATGTGGCCAGCTCAGTAGTTGGAGAAAAGGCAAGAATGGAGATATTTGGCAATCATGCAAACAGAAAGGAGTATTGAAGGCCTAATAGTGACTGAGATCATCAAGGAAAAGAGTAGAGAGAGAAAAAAGGTGGAAGGGAAAAAATACTTCTTTCCTCCTAGTTCCTCCTCATTCCTATAGCCTCTTCTCTCACTACCTGTTTAACTTTGTCCTTCCCACTTGCTTCCTTTCCTCCCAAGTGTTGTCCATTTTCCCTCATTCTGGTCCAGCTTCCTTCTTCAGTGGTCAGATGCCATGCTTATCTCAGTCTTTTGTGGTCTTTCACATACGTACATGGGCGTAGTCTCTCACTGTTTCCCTCACTTGTGACCACTCAAGCAAGCATTTTGATCTTGAGCCTTTGAGTTGAATCGAAATGAGGGGCAAGTTCCAGAGAGCAGTACCCAATTTAAATCGTGCTTCTCCAGATATTTATTCCAGCTCTCTAAAAGCTCCAAGCTTATTCTCGTTTTATCTTTTTTGCAAATTAGATAAGAGTGGTATGATAACCATGTAAAAGATCAGAGGCATTGAGAGACTTGCAAGGTTATAAAGTCTAAAAGTGCCCTTTTCTTTGTAGCTTTTCCTGAAGGCTCTGAGGTCAGAGAGACTTCTGAATCAATATCTCCAGCATAGCAACTATTTGAGTTTTGGAAAGTTCTGTCAACTCTCAGCTTTTGAGCCTGAGAACATTAATGCCTACCTAGCAGGATGGTTTTAAATTTTTAATGAGACAAATGCAAGGAAAGGATCTCATATAAATGATAGCTTTTGCCACTTTTTGTGTTGTTTCTAAGCCCAGGCCTGTCCCTCTTGAGCTTCACAGGCAATGAAATAAAAGAAGCAACTTTTACATCTTTTTTTTTTTTTTTTAATAGATATTGACTAAGGGGAAGTAACTTGCTTGAACTTGAGAAAGCCATGTCTAATGCTGAAGTTGACATTTCTGAACTCTTGATTCTTAACCTGGGCTTTAGTCTTCACTGAGTCGATGAGGTGTGTTTCTGTGTTTATCATGGCTTTTTCGTTTGGGATTTTTTGTTTTTCGTTTTTTTACTTATAAAAACAGAACATTTTCAGATGGTTAATTTTGTTGATCTAATTATACAATTTTTATAAATGTATAAAGAAGAAAATTAAAATTGCCCGTAATCTCACTATCCAAAGATAACCAATGTTAACATTTTGATGTATGTCTATGTAAATGTTTACTTGCATACACACATGTGCATACATACATACCTATGTGTCCTCCCCATACATGTTTTTATGACCTCCTCTTAATGGATATTATGCCTTCGTTTCTAAATTTTCTCTAAGAACCCAGTGAAAAATTCCCTCATAATCTTTGTACTCTTGTTCATTTGTTTATTAAGTTCCTCTTAGAAGTTAGATTGCTGAGTCAAAAGGTGTGCCCTACTTTATATGTAGCTAACCCTTGAAGAACACGGGGATTAGGGTTGCTAACCCCCCCGTGCAGTTGAAAATTTACATGTAACATTTGACTCCTCGAAAACTTAACTACCAGTGGCCTACTGTTGACTGGAAGCCTTACCAGTAACATAAGCAGTTAACTCATGTTTTGTATGTTATATGGACTCTTACGATAAAGTAAGCAAGAGAAAAATGTTAAGATCATAAGGAAGATAAAATACATTTACAGTACTATACTGCATTTGTCAATACCATAGGTTTACATCGTCTGTTTACAAGATAAATCATCTGTCTGAAATAGGGGACAACCACAGCTGCAGACCTCTATCTACGGTACATCTCAAGCGATTCAGCTTTTCTTATGTCATGACTTTTCTCTGTTTCTTGAGAGCACATCCAGCATCACTAAGCACTTTGTATGGGTTTCATGGTGTTATTCAAGGTTTACGATATTACCCTACACATGATTAAACAAGTATATGTGGAAAAAAACCCAGGAGAGAACACTTGTTACCGTGATACACAGTTTACTGGGAAGTAGTGCAGAAATTGATTAGTGTCACGTGGCGTTTTAAGTGGATCCTCACAACACTTGAGCCCACCACAGCAGCAGCAGATGTCTGTGGTAGTAGGACATTATTATCACGGTAGTACAGTGTAGTCTATGGTAAATTTTATGCAGTTGTGATACAAATTAAAAAGAAAAAAATAATGAATTTAAAAATATGCAGTTGTGAGTTAATATTGCATCTTTACATTTCTGTCAACTGCAGATGTCACCATCTATGGTCAGTAAGTGATTGTGTGCATAAATTTTGATAAAGTTTAACTTTGTATAATAGATTTGTGTTGATTTTATGGTAGTAAATGGATAAAATAGGCTAGTATCTACATATATTTTATGCATTCAGGACATATCTTTTTCTTAGTTTTTTTCAATTTTTATAGGCTGTGGAGTTCATCTGTGAGTTTTCCAAATTGTTATAAATCGCCAAAAAATTTTCCAATATATTTATTGAAAAAAACTCTCTTGTAAGTGGACCCATGCAGTTCAAACCTGTGTTGTTCATGAATCAACTGTATTGCCAAATTTCCTACAGAAATTGTGCATTAATATTCTTACCAGTGGTATATGGCCAATCATATCTCTTTCTCTGCTGCCTAGTCACCCCTAGGTATTGTTACATTATTCCATAAATATTTATTGAACACTTATTATATACCAGGCACTCTTAGAGGTGCTGGGAATACATCTATGAAAACCAAGTCCCTGCCGTCATGGAGATTTCATTTTACTGAGGGGACACAGATAGTAAACAACACTATAAATGTAATGTCAGGTGATAATACAGAGTGTTAGGGGAAAAAATACGGTATTTTTGTTCTTTTAATCTTTGCTGTTTGATAGCCAGATTCCATAAGATGTCATTATTTTTTATTTTTTTATTATGATTCATTTATTCAATAAATATTTATTGAGCATATGCTGTAACCCTGGGGACCAGAGGTGAACAAGATGATAATGGAACTACATTCTACTGTGGAAAGATAGGCAGTAAACAAACTAACAAATAAGAGAACAGTATAATAGTAACTTTGGTGGGATTGGGAACATTTGATTGTGTTTTCAGAGAAGGCCTCTCTGAAGAGTTAATATTTGACCTGAGACTAAAATGACAACAAATTAGTTATAAGATCTAGATGAATAAGGCATTGTCAAAGGGAACAACAAAACCAAAAGTTTGGAGGCGGGAATGAGCATGACTTACTGGAAGAATGGAAAGCCAGTGAGGCTGCAATGTAACGACTGATGGACAGAGTCAGAAGAGATGAGAAGTAGGTAGGTTAGGTTATAGGGCTTTGGAGACCACAATAAGGGATTTGGATTTTATTGTAATACAGTAAGAAATCTTTGAAGGTTTAAGCAGGACAGTGACATGATTTGATTTACTTTTTTTTTTTTTGGAGATGGAGTCTTGCTCTGTTGCGTTGCCCAGGCTGTAGTGCAGTGGTGCGATCTCGGCTCACTGCAACCCCCACTTCCCAGGTTCAAGCAATTTCCCCCACCTCAGCCTCCCGAGTAGCCGGGACTACAAGCACACCACCACGCTTGACTAATTTTTTGTATTTTAGTAGAGACGGGGTTTCACCATGTTGGCCAGGATGGTCTAGATCTCCTGACCTCATGATCCACCCGCCTCGGCCTCCCAAAGTGCTGGGATTACAGGCGTGAGCCACTGCACCTAGCCTTGATTTACATTTTTTAGAGATGACTTTAGCTACTGTGAAAAGAAAAGATGGTAAGGTAGGGAGACCATATAATTTATCATCCAATTGGGAAACTTTTGCAAATGAAAAGGGATGCTAACTGGACCAGGATGTCAAGCAACAGGTGAAAACTGGAACTGTCCCAAACAAAGCAGAAGTGTAGTCACCCTACTGTAAGAGGGGAAGAGTGAAATTAGGGAGATCAGTTAGAAGGTTGGCTGTAGTAGTCCAGGTCAGAAATAACTGTAGCTTGGACTGGAGTGGTGGTACAGACTGGGAGAGTGGAGGGATGTAGATATTTAGTAAATAAAATCAACAGGTCCTGATAACTTGGATGTGGATAACAAGGGAAAGGAAGGAATGAAGAAGGATGCCCTGAGTTCTGGCTTGAGCAACTGAATGCATGTTGGTGTCATGCATTGAAATGAAGCAGACTTGGGAGGAACAGGGTTAGAGGAAAGATTCAAGAGTTCTGTTTTGAAGGTATAAAACTTAACGATGCCTGTGGAATAGCCAACTGGAGATGCCAAGTATAACATTTGTACTGAGTTTAGAGCTCTGAAGAAAAGTCCTGACTAGAGATACAAATTTAGTCTTGTTAGCGCATAGGTTATAGTGAAGTCATTGACCTGGATAAAATCATCTAGGTTGAGGTGACAAGAGGAAGAACATCCAGAACCTAGCCCAAGGGAACACCATAGTGTCCCAAGGGAGGAAGAGCAGCTAGTGAGGTTGGAGATAAAGGAGTGTGCTCACATGCAGTACAGCCAGACATCTTGCTTATGTTTATTGGAAACACATAGGGTATGTGTGCAAATTCCCTATGCTTGTCCTTTGCCCATTTTTCTGTTGCAGTGTTATAATGTTTCTTTTTTTTTTTCCTTTTTTTTTTTTTTTTTTTGAGAGGGAGTTTCACTCTTGTTGCCCAGGCTGGAGTGCAATGGCGCAATCTCAGCTCACTGCAACCTCCACCTACCTGGCTCAAGTGATTCTCCTGCCTCAGACTCCCAAGCAGCTGGGATTACAGGCATGTGCCACCATGCCCAGCTAATTTTATATTTTTAGTAGAGACAGGGTTTTACCATGTTGGTCAGGCTGGTCTCAAACTCCTGACCTCAAGTGATCCACCCACCTCGGCCTCCCAAAGTGCTAGGATTACAGGCATGAGCCACCGCACCCGGCCAACATTTCTTACTCATTTGTTAAATCTACTTATATATTAAAGATTGTTATAGGTGGAACTGTATCTCCTAAAAAGATGTGCTGAAGTTCTAACCCCCCACTACCTCAGATTGTGACCTTATTTAGAAATAGGGTCATTGGCAGATATAATCAGTGAAGATGAGGTTGTGCCGAGTAGAGTGAACCCTTAATCCAACATGACTACTGTCCTTATGAGAAGAACATGTGAAGACACAGGGGAAGAACGCCATGTGACAGTGGAAGCAGAAACCGAAGTTATGCAGCTGCAAGCCAAGGAACACCGAGGACTGCTGGCGACATCAGGAGCTAAGAAAAAGGCATGAAACAGATTCTTCCCTGGAGCCTTCAAGAGAACGTGGCTCTGTAGACACCTTGATTTCAAACCTTTAGCCTCCAGGACTGTGAGGGGATAAATTTCTGTTGTTTAAATCCACCTAGTTTCTGGTAATTTTTACTAGGAAACTAATATAGCCTCTTGTCATACATGTTACAATTTTCTTTCAACTTTCGATTTTGTTTTTTTAATTACAGAAGTTTTACATTTTTATATAGTCAATTCTACCACTCCTTTTCTTTATGATTTCTTAGTTGTCATGCTTATGTCAACCTAAATAACAGACAGCGACTCTCTAAAAAGAAAGTGATATTTATTCAGGAATGGCATTGCAACCGGAGTGTGTGAGCCATAATAAACTATGTGTGTATTCAGGGAGGTAAAGGAAGGCAAAAGCTTTTAAAGGAAAAATGAGGAGGATTACATAATTGTTTTGAGATAATTATCGTTATCTGCAAGGATTAATAACAAGGGTGGCTCCAGTCCAAGGTCGAGCAGGCAGTTGCTGGGCAGATGTCCTCATGGAAGTATTTTTTTCTGTAAGGTTGTGGTTTTTGCAGAGCCTTTTGTGGTACTTATCAGGCATTTGTGCATAATAATCCTCCCTTCATGGCCTTCCCTAGCTCTATTTGTCAAGGTTTTTTTTTTTTTTTTGAGACGAGTCTCGCTCTGTCACCCAGGCTGGAGTGCAGTGGCACGATCTCGGGTCACTGCAACCTCCACCTCCCGGATTCAAGCAATTCTCCTGCCTCAGCCTCCTGAGTAGCTGGGATTACAGGCATGTGCCACTACACCTGGCTAATTTTTTTGTATTTTTCGTAGAGACGGGGTTTCACCATATTGGCCAGGCTGGTCTCAAACTGCTGACCTTGTGATCCACCCACCTCGACCTCCCAAAGTGTTGGGATTACAGGCATGAGCCACCACGCCTGGCCAAGTGACTCCATTTTGATACTGACAACTCACATTTCCCTCATTTGATCAAGATGTTTTCCCAAAAACATTGCCAATCAGCTTGTATAATAGTTCAGGGGTGTGTGTGTGTGTGTGTGTGTGTGTGTGTGTGTGTGTGTGTTGTTTGTTTGTTTGTCTTGAGATGGAGTCTCACTCTGCCACCCAGGCAAAGTGATCTTGGCTCACTGCAACCTCCACTTCCCGGGTTCAAGTGATTCTCCCACTCAGCCTCCCGAGTAGCTGGGATTACAGGCAAGCGCCACCATGCCTAGCTAATTTTTTATTTATTATTATTATTATTCTTTAAGTTCTGGGATACATGTGCAGAACGTGCAGGTTTGTTACATAGGTATACACATGCCATGGTGGCTGCTGCACTTATCAACCCATCATCTACCTTAGGTATTTCTCCTAATGCAATCCCTCCCCTAGCCCCCCACCCCCCAACAGGCCCGGGTGTGTGATGTTCCCATCCCTGTGTCCATGTGTTCTCATTGTTCAACTTCCACTTATAAGTGAGAACATGCAGTGTTTGGTTTTCTGTTCCTGTGTTAGTTTGCTGAGAATGATGGTTTCCAGCTTCATCCATGTCCCTCCAAAGGACATGAACTTATCCTTTTTTATGGCTGCATAGTATTCCATGGTGTATATGTGCCACATTTTCTTTATGCGTCTATCATTGATGGGCATTTGGGTTGGTTCCAAGTCTTTGCTATTGTGAATAGTGCTGCAATAAACATACATGTGCATGTGTCTTTATAGTAGAATGATTTATAATCCTTTGGGTATATACCCAGTAATGGGATTGCTGGGTCAAATGGTATTTCTGGTTCTAGATCCTTGAGGAATCACCACACTGTCTTCCACAATGGTTGAACTAATTTACACTCCCTCCAACAGATTAAAGTGTTCCTATTTCTCCACATCCTCTCCAGCATCTGTTGGTTCCTGACTTTTTAATGATTGCCATTCTAACTGGTGTGAGATAGTGTATCATTGTGCTTTTGATTTGCATTTCTCTAATGACCAGTGATGATGAGCTTTTTTTCATATGTTTGTGGGCCGCGTAAATGTCTTCTTTTAAGAAGTGTCTGTTTATATCCTTCGCCCACTTTTTGATGGGGTTGTTTGTTTTTTTCTTGTAAATTTGTGTAAGTTCCTTGTAGATTCTGGATATTAGCCCTTTGTCAGATGGATAGATTACAAAGATTTTCTCCCATTCTGTAGGTTACCTGTTCACTCTGATGATAGTTTCTTTTGCTGTGCAGAAGCTCTTTGGTTTAATCAGATCCATTTGTCAATTTTGGCTTTTGTTGCCATTGCTTTTGGTGTTTTAGTCATGAAGTCTTTGCCCATGCCTATGTCCTGAATGGTATTGCCTAGGTTTTCTTCTAGGGTTTTTATGGTTTTAGGTTTACATTTAAGTCTTTAATCCATCTTCAGTTAATTTTTGTATAAGGTGTAAGGAAGGGGCCCGGTTTCAGTTTTCTGCATATGGCTAGCCAGTTTTCCCAACACCATTTATTAAGTAGGGAATTCTTTCCCCATTGCTTGTTTTTGTCAGGTTTGTCAAAGATCAGATGGTTGTAGATGTGTGGCATTATTTCTGAGGCCTTTGTTCTGTTCCGTTGGTCTATATATCTGTTTTGGTACCAGTACCATCCTGTTTTGGTTACTGTAGCCTTGTAGTATAGTTTGAACTCAGGTAGTGTGATGCCTCCAGCTTTGTTCTTTTTGCTTAGGATTGTCTTGGCTATATGGGCTCTTTTTTGGTTCCTTATGAACTTTAAAGTAGTTTTTTCTAATTCTGTGAAGAAAGTCAGTGGCAGCTTGATGGGGATAGCATTGAATCTATAAATTTCTTTGGGCAGTATGGCCATTTTCATGATATTGATTCTTCCTATCCATGAGCATGGAATGTTTTTCCATTTGTTTGTGTCCTCTTTTATTTCGTTGAGCAGTGGTTTGTAGTTCTCCTTGAAGAGGTCCTTCACATCCCTTGTAAGTTGTATTCCTAGGTATTCTATTCTCTTTGTAGCAATTATGAATGGGAGCTTGCTCATGATTTGGCTTTCTGTTTGTCTATTATTGGTGTATAGGAATGCTTGTGACTTTTGCACATTGATTTTGTATCCTGAGACTTTGCTGAAGTTGCTTATCAGCTTAAGGAGATTTTAGGCTGAGACGATAGTGTTTCTAAATATACAATCATGTCATCTGCAAACAGAGATAGTTTGACTTCCTCTCTTCCTATTTGAATACCCTTTATTTCTTTCTCTTGCCTGATTTCCCTGGCCAGAACTTCCAATACTATGTTGAATGGAGTGGTGAGAGAGGGCATCCTTGTCTTGTGCTGGTTTTCAAAGGGAATGCTTCCAGCTTTTACCCATTCAGTATGATATTGGCTGTGGGTTTGTCATAAATAGCTCTTATTATTTTGAGATACGTTTCATCAACACCTAGTTTATGGAGAGTTTTTAGCATGAAGTGGTGTTGAATTCTATCAAAGGCCTTTTCTGCATCTATTGAGATAATCATGTGGTTTCTGTCATTGGTTCTGTCGATGGATTACGTTTATTGATTTGCATATGTTGATCCAGCCTTGCATCCCAGGGATGAAGCCAATTTGATCGTGGTGGATAAGCTTTTTGATGTGCTGCTGGATTTGGTGTGCCAGTATTTTATTGAGGATTTTTGCATCGATGTTCATCAGAGATAATGGCCTGAAATTTTTTTGTTGTTGTTGTGTCTTTGCCAGGTTTTGGTATCAGGATGATGCTGGCCTCATAAAACGAGTTAGGGAGGAGTCCCTCATTTTCTATTGTTTGGAATCATTTCAGAAGGAATGGTACCAGCTCCTCTTTGTGCCTCTAGTAGAATTTGGCTGTGAATCCGTCTGGTCCTGGGCTTTTTTTGGTTGGTAGGCTATTAATTACTGCCTCAATTTCAGAACTTGTTATTGGTCTATTCAGAGATTCAACTTCTTCCTGGTTTAGTCTTGGGAGGGTGTATGTGTCCAGGACATTGTCCATTTCTTCTAGATTTTCTAGTTTATTTGCATAGAGGTGTGTATAGTCTTCTCTGATGGTACTTTGTATTTCTGTGGGATCAGTGGCGATATCCCCTTTATTATTTTTTATTGTATCTATTTGATTCTTCTCTCTTTTCTTCTTTATTAGTCTGGCTAGTGGTCTATCTATGTTGTTAATCTTTTCAAAAAAACAGCTCCTGGCCAGACATGGTGGCTCACGCCTGTAATCCCAGTACTTTGGAAGGCTGAGGTGGGCATATCACAAGGTCAGGAGATCGAGACCATCCTGGCTAACATGGTGAAACCCCGTCTCTACTAAAAATACAAAAACAAAATTAGCTGGGCATGGTGGCAGGCATCTGTAGTCCCAGCTACTCAGGAGGCTGAGGCGGGAGAATGGTGTGAACCCGGGAGGTGGAGCTTGCAGTGAGCCGAGATCATGCCACTGCACTCCAGCCTGAGCAACAGAGCGAGATTCCGTCTCAAAAAAAAAAAAAAAAAAAAACCAGCTCCTGAATTCATTGATTTTTTGAAGGGTTTTTCATGTCTCTTATCTCCTTCAGTTCTACCCTGATCTTAGTTATTTCTTGCCTTCTGCTAGCTTTTGAATTTGTTAGCTCTTGCTTCTCTAGTTCTTTTAATTGTGATGTTAGGGTATCAATTTTAGATCTTTCCGGCTTTTTCCTGTGGGCATTTAGTGCTAGAAATTTCCCTCTAAACACTGCTTTAGCTGTGTCCCAGAGATTCTGGTACATTGTGTCTTTGTTCTCCTTGGTTTCAAAGAATTATTTATTTCTGCCTTAATGTCGTTATTTACCCAGGTTTCAAAGAATTATTTATTTCTGCCTTAATGTCGTTATTTACCCAGTAGTTATTCAGGAGCAGGTTGTTCAGTTTCCATGTAGTTGTGCAATTCTGAGTGAGTTTCTTAATCCTGAGTTCTAATTTGATTGCACTGTGGTCTGAGAGACTGTTATGATTTCCGTTCTCTTGCATTTACTGAGGAGTGTTTTACTTCCAATTATGTGGCCAATTTTAGAATAAGTGAGATGTGGTGCTGAGAAGAATGTATATTCTGTTGATTTGGGGTGGAGAGCTCTGTAGATGTCTATTAGGTCCACTTGTTCCAGACCTGAGTTCAAGTCCTGAATATCCTTGTTAATTTTCTGTCTTGTTGATCTGTCTAATATTGACAGTGGGGTGTTAAAATCTCCCACTATTATTGTGTGGGAGTCTAAGTCTCTTTGTAGGTCTGTAAGAACTTGCTTTATGAATCGGGATGCTCCTGTATTGGGTGCATATATATTTAGGATAGTTAGCGCTTCTTGTTGCATTAATCCCTTTACCATTATGTAATGGCCTTCTTTGTCTATTTTGATCTTTGTTGGTTTAAAGTCTGTTTTATCAGAGACTAGCATTGCAACCCTTTTTGTTTTTTGCTTTCCATTTGCTTGGTAATTTATTCCTCCATCCCTTTATTTTGAGCCTATGTGTGTCTTTGCATTAGATGGGTCTCCTGAATACAGCACACCAATGGGTCTTGACTCTTTATCCAATTTGCCAGTCTGAGTCTTTTAATTGGGGCATTTAGCCCGTTTACATTTAAGATTAATATTATGTGTGAATTTGATCTTGTCATTATGATGCTAGCTGGTTGTTTTGCCCATTAGTTGATGCAGTTTCTTCATAGTGTTGATGGTTTTTACAATTTGGTATGTTTGGCCAGGCACGGTGGCTCACCCCTACAATCTCAGCACTTTGGGAGGCCGAGGTGGGCAGATCACAAGGTCAGGAGATCGAGACCATCCTGGGCAACATGGTGAAACCCTGTCTCTACTAAAAATACACAAATTAGCTAGGTGTGATGGCACACTCCTGTAGTCCCAGCTACTCGGGAGGCTGAGGCAGGAGAATGGCTTGAACGTGGGAGGCAGAGATTACAGCAAGCCAAGGTCGTGCCACTGCACTCCAGCCTGGCGACAGAGCAAGCGAGACTCCACCTCAAAAACAAAACAAAACAAAAACAATTTGGTATGTTTTTGCAGTGGCTGGTACCGGTTTTTCCTTTCCATATTTAGTGCTTCCTTCAGGAGCTCTTGTAAGGCAGGCCTGGTGATGACAAAATCTCTCAGCATTTGCCTGTCTGTAAAGGATTTTATTTCTCCTTCACTTATGAAGCATAGTCTGGCTGGATATGAAATTCTGGGTTGAAAATTATTTTCTTTTCTTTTTTTTTTTTTTATTGATCATTCTGGGGTGTTTCTCGCAGAGGGGGATTTGGCAGGGTCATAGGACAATAGTGGAGGGAAGGTCAGCAGATAAACAAGTGAACAAAGGTCTCTGGTTCTCCTAGGCAGAGGACCCTGTGGCCTTCCGCAGTGTTTGTGTCCCTGGGTACTTGAGATTAGGGAGTGGTGATGACTCTTAACGAGCATGCTGCCTTCAAGCATCTGTTTAACAAAGCACATCTTGCACCGCCCTTAATCCATTTAACCCTGAGTGGACACAGCACATGTTTCAGAGAGCACAGGGTTGGGGGTAAGGTCACAGATCAACAGGATCCCAAGGCAGAAGAATTTTTCTTAGTACAGAACAAAATGAAAAGTTTCCCATGTCTACTTCTTTCTACACAGACACGGCAACCATCCGATTTCTCAATCTTTTCCCCACCTTTCCCCGCTTTCTATTCCACAAAACCACCATTGTCATCATGGCCCGTTCTCAATGAGCTGTTGGGTACACCTCCCAGATGGGGTGGTGGCCGGGCAGAGGGGCTCCTCACTTCCCAGTAGGGACGGCCGGGCAGAGGCGCCCCTCACCTCCCGGACGGGGCGGCTGGCCGGGCGGGGGGCTGACCGCCCCCCCCACCTCCCTCCCGGACGGGGCGGCTGGCTAGGCGGGGGCTGACCCCCTCACCTCCGTCCCGGACGTGGTGGCTGCCGGGCGGAGACGCTCCGGGCAGAGACGCTCCTCACTTCCCAGACGGGGTGGCTGCCGGGCGGAGGGGCTCCTCACTTCTCAGACGGGGCGGTTGCCAGGCAGAGGGTCTCCTCACTTCTCAGACAGGGCGGCCGGGCAGAGACGCTCCTCACCTCCCAGATGGGGTCGCGGCTGGGCAGAGGCGCTCCTCACATCCCAGACGGGGTGGCGGGGCAGAGGCGCTTCCCACATCTCAGACGATGGGCGGCCGGGCAGAGACGCTCCTCACTTCCTAGATGGGATGGCAGCCGGGAAGAGGCGCTCCTCACTTCCTAGATGGGATGGCGGCCGGGCAGAGACGCTCCTCACTTTCCAGACTGGGCAGCCAGGCAGAGGGGCTCCTCACCTCCCAGACGATGGGCGGCCAGGCAGAGACGCTCCTCACTTCCCAGATGGGGTGGCGGCCGGGCAGAGGCTGCAATCTCGGCACTTTGGGGGGCCAAGGCAGGCGGCTGGGAGGTGTAGGTTGTAGCGAGCTGAGATCATGCCACTGCACTCCAGCCTGGGCACCATTGAGCACTGAGTGAACGAGACTCCGTCTGCAATCCCAGCACCTCGGGAGGCTGAGGCTGGCAGATCACTCGCGGTTAGGAGCTGGAGACCAGCCTGGCCCACGCTGCGAAACCCTGTCTCCACCAAAAAAATACGAAAACCAGTCAGGCGTGGCGCGCGCGCCTGCAATCGCAGGCACTCAGCAGGCTGAGGCAGGAGAATCAGGCAGGGAGGTTGCAGTGAGCCGAGATGGCAGCAGTACAGTCCAGCTTCGGCTCGGCATCAGAGGGAGACTGTGGAAAGGGGAGACAGAGAGGGAGAGGGAGAGGTGAAAATTATTTTCTTAAGAATGTTGAATATTGGCCCCCACTCTCTTCTGGTTTGTAGGGTTTCTTCAGAGAGATCCACTGTTAGTCTGATGGGCTTCCCTTTGTGGGTAACCCGACCTTTCCCTCTGGCTGCCCTTAATATTTTTTCCTTCATTTCAACTTGGTGAATATGACGATTATGCGTCTTGGGGTTGCTCTTCTAAAGATACTCCTCGAGAATTTTTTTGTATTTTTAGTAGAGACGGAGTTTTGCAATGTTGGCCAGCCTAGTCTCGAACTCCTGACCTCCAGTGATCCACCCGCCTCAGCCTCCCAAAGTTCTGGGATTACAGGCATGAGCCACTGTGCCTGGAAATAGCTCAGTTTTGATATCCCTCAGTGCCAGGATGGACCTATCCTGGATTGTTGGTCTCATTCCATGTTGTAGGGAGTCATTGACAACTAGGAGTCAGCGTCAAAACTCTTTTAGCCACGTTTGAGCAACAAGGGAGGTTTGGAGGGAGTAGCTCTCAAGCTAAGTTTACCTGGAGTTCATTATTAAGTTTAATTTTATCAGTTCCATAGGTGTTTCCTATCACCTCAAAGTGCTGGGCCAGCATTATTCTGTTAGGCATTGTAGTTTGGCAGAATTTTAACAAGTAATAGCTACAAAGTTTAAAAAGAAAAATAGAAAGTAAAATGATAATCTCGGTTTGTGTAATAGTTTTCAGCCATGAACCTAGGATTCAAGGTTCAATTAAACCTTTGAATCAATTGAATAAATCAAATGACCACGGAGAACTAGGTGACACCTTTTGTAACTGTGTGGCCTGTTTTCTTATTTTGCATATATGGGTCTCAACTTTCCCAAAGGCCATTATCTAGTTACAGCATAAAGTATTAGCAACAGCACAGAAATTTCCTTATCTAACTAATAGATAATATAGACCAATTTTGTCATCTAGGATCCCATGACTGGGTGGAATTAAAGCAGAGAGAGAGCAACAGTTGTATTAGGGATGTTGCCAAGGTCACCCACTAGATGGACTAAAGGATCCCTTAAACCAGTTTCTGTCAAGTTACCAACAGAAGCTGCTGATTGTGAAATTTCAATTACACCGTTATCCTGCCAAGTGAAAAAGGTAGGATTAAGAGGAGTAGGAGTCTGATTATGTAGTCTTGTTCTAACGTCTAGGGAAAAGCTGTCTGCAGCATGAAAATGTCAACTTATTGTCCTGGTTTTCAGTTTTGAATGTCTGGTTATGGCACTGGATGGTTTGGTGAACTTTCTGTGTGACTCATCATCAGCCATGAGACTTGCCCCTTAAAATTTATCTAGTTTTAGCTTTTAGGATTTCAGGAACAGAGCAGTTCCTGTTTTTACTAATTTCATGGAAGAAAAGATGGGAGGAATCTAGAAGAATTTAAGATTTAGTTCAGTCTACCAGTGTATAACAGGAACTCAAAGACAATGCACAGGGCTATAATCTAAGAACAGATGTATTAACAGCCTTACTCACTGTAAGGCTGGGAACCCTTGAAGCCAGGCATTATATGCACATTCTCAAATATGATGCTCTAGTTAAAGCCTTGGTAATATATATAACCAATGTTTCCAACTGCATCCTGTTATAAAGAGAGAGCAAATTTTATTAAACTTAGGTAAATAATTCTTGCCATAAAAAATAAGAATACTCATGGATAGTTTCTGAATTTTAGAGGAATCAAATAGGGACAAAAAAATGTTTCCACCTTTGTTCACAAAGTATACCAAATTACTGTAAACTAATAAGTAGCTTAAGAGAAAGAAAAGGTTTCCTTAAAGCTAGAAAACAAAATATTTAAATAAAGAACCTGGCTAGGCATGGTGGCTCATGCCTGTAATCCCAGCACTTTGGGAGGCCGAGGTGAGCAGATCACCTGAGGTCAGGGGTTCGAGACCAGCCTGGCCAACATGGTGAAACACTGTCTTTACTAAAAATACAAAAATTAGCCAGCATGGTGGTGGGCACCTGTAATCCCTGCTACTCCAGAGGCTGAGGTTGCAGTGAGCTGAGATTGTGCCACTGCACTCCAGCCTGAGCAACAGAGCAAGACTCCACCTCAAAAAAAAAAGAACCAATAATGTTTCAAATAAAAGTCATAAAAACGTTATCTTCAAGACCAGGTGCTGTGGCTCATGCCTGTAATCCCAGCACTTTGGGAGGCTGAGGCGAGCTGATCACTTGAGGACAGGAATTTGAGACCAGCCTGGCCAACATGGTGAAACCCTGTCTCTACTAAAAATACAAAAAATGAGCTGGGTGTAGTGGCGCACATTCGTAACCCCAGCTACTATGGAGGCTGAGAAAGGAGAATCGCTTGAACCCGGAGGCAGAAGTTGTAGTGAGCCAAGATCGTGCCACTGCACTCCAGCCTGGGTGACAGAGTGAGACTGTCTTTTTTTTTTTTTTTTTTTTAAAGAAAAAGAGCTAACTTGACTTTAAAGAGATGAAATGTACATGTAAAATAAAATTTTGTTTTCTGTGAAATTTTACTTCAGAAAATATCCTGACTAAAATAAATTAAAAAATGAGTACTCCTAAAAAAAAAAAAAGAAAAGAAAAGAAAGAAAGAAAGTAAGAAAGCCAAGAGCACAGAATCAGGATATACTGGAGGAAAACAACTTTTCTAGGCCTTCAAGATAGAACATTTCAGTGTCAGGCCGTTAAAGCAGAGTTAGAGCTGGAGAAAAAAAGTTACAGAAGATGAAAAAGTTAAAAGAGAATTATCACCTCACCAAACAAAAAGATATACCGTCTCAAGGAGAGAAAGTGGAAGACCAAAAGGCAGAAATGTCTGACCTGCAAATCACATGAAACAAGATACAGCAAAAGTTTAACTACTGAGATATGAATCTGAGAAGCTTCCACAGGAAAACTCTACCTCAAAATATGAAATTACCATTCTAAATGAAGAAGATTCATTTTAAAACTGATATTAGAGAAAGGAAGACTAAAAAACAAACAAAAAAGCTGCACTTCAGAAGATAGTTGAAAATTTAAGAAACAAATTTCAGAATTAGGTCAAAATCTCTTGCAAATGTTATTAAAAGCAGATCAATACTTCAAGAAAACATTGTTCTAATATAGGAGACCAGAATTTTAGTTTTCATATCAATGTGTATATAAATATATATACACGTATTTTTTAATTGAAGCAGTCTTTAGACATACTTATAAGTAAGTTTCTTCTAATTATAGCCAACTTGGTCACCACAAATTTCTTTTGTAAATTCATCCTTCGCAAACTTTCCATGATATACTCAGACCTTCTATGGCATGTTTAGACCTTTAGTTTTGTCCTTCTTTCTTAAATAGTTAGTCATTTTACTTAAGGATAAAATTTAATTTCTTGCCTTATTTCTAAGATAACAACAAATCTAAGACTTGCTGTCATTTTAAAAACACCTTTTCTAAAAAGAAACACTACCACATGAAATGCACACATTAATTATAGGATACATCCTGGTTATATATGTATTATGGAAACATTCCACATATTAGATTATAAAATATGGTGTTACCAATTGTGTCAGTCATTTTAAAACAATTATCTTTTCTCCAATTATTTGTAACATTTTTTTTTTTAGAATCTCACTGTTACCCAACCTGGAGTGCAGTGGCAGAATCATAGCTCATTGTAGCCTTGAACTCCTGGGCTCAAGTAATCTCCTGCCTCAAGTCTCCTGAGTAGGCAGGACTATAGGCAAACACCACCATGCCTGGCTAATTTTTTAAATTAATTTATTTATTTTTTGGTAGAGACAGGGTCTCACTATGTTGCCCACACTGGTCTTGAACTCCTTGCCTCAAGTGGTCCTACCACATTGGCCTCCCAAAGCACTGGGATTACATGTGTGAGCCACCACACCTGGCCCGTAACATATTTTTATACCAAATTATTTTATTTACTTGTGTTTCTGGGTTTTCCATTATGTTTCATTGATTTCTTTATTCAATAGCATAACTTTCCTGTTTTATTTTTATAGTTTGATATATCTTTCGGGATTTCATAAAGCAGTATATGTGTTAGGCTGTTCTTGCATTACTGTAAAGAAATCCCTGAGAATACTCATCTCTCACCTTATGCAAAAAATCAATTCAAAATGGATCAAAGACTTTTATATAAAAATTTTTTTTAATTAAAAAACAAAAGAAATGCCTGAGACTGGGTAATTGATCAAGAAAAGAGCTCACAGTTCCAAAGACTGTACAGGAAGCATGGTGCCAGCATCTGTTCACCTTCTGATGAGACTTCAGGAAGCTTACAATCATGGTGGAAGGCACAGTGGGAGCTGGCACATCACATGGAGAGAGCAAGAGAGTGAGAGTGGGGGTGCAAAGGTGCCACAGACTCAAACAACCAGATCTCTCAATAGCTCATTATTGTGAAGACAGCACCAAGCCATGAGGGATATGCCCCCATGACCCAAATACCTCCCACCAGGCCCCACCTCCAACCTTGGGGATTACAATTCAACATATGGGGAATACATACATATGTACGTATGTGTCTCCTTACTATTTTTCCCCCCAAAAAAATGTCCTGGCTATTTGTACCCATTTGTTCCCCCAAATGAATTTTAGAATAATTTTGTCGAAGACTGCATTAGATTGTTTCTTTGGGCCGTATAATTATTTGTTGCATGGGGTTGTCCTATGCACTGTAGGATATTTAATAGCATCTCTGACCTCTACCCGCTAGATGCCTGCCAGTAGTAACCCCTCAACTTGTGACAATAAAAAATGTCTCCAGACATTGCCAAATAGCCCCTGTATGGGAGGTAAAATTGCACCAGTTCAGAACCACTACGTTAGTTTTATAAGTTAATTAAAGGAGAGTTAATGTCTTTACAATATTGTCTTTCTAAGCGGAAGTACAGTATAACTTTCATTTTATGAGATTTGCTTCTTGGTGATCAGTAAAACTATAAGACTTCCTTGGGTTTGGTGCCTTTTTATGGAGCTAGTGTTTCGATTTTGAATGACTATGTGTTATGTAGGGTTAAACATATCAATCATGGTAAGCATCACATAATAAGAATAGCTGGCATTTATGCCAGGTACCATGTCAAGTGCTTTACTTGGATTAACTCATAATCTTCACTGCAACCCCATGAGGTAGGTAGTATTATTATCCCTGTTTGGTAAATGAGGAAACTAAGGTAGCTTCAACCAGATGCTAACTAGTAGAGCAGGTTTACCACCGCTTGTCTCCATCTTTAAGATCCTGGGGCAAACTTTTTCAAACCTCATACCAGGTTTCCAAGGGAACATCAGGTGGGGATGGTAGTAGTAAACAGTTAAGTGGAAAAAAGCAAGTCACAAAATATAATTCTATTTTTTAAACGGATGGTTTTGGAAAAATAGACTCACGAGAGTTTTTTAATACAAAAATTGTTTTTTAAAACTCCTTTTTTTTTTTGAGATAGAGTCTTGCTCTCTCACCCAGGCTGGAGTGCAGTGGCACAATCGCATAAGTTAGTGAACTTATTAATATAATATTCACTACAGCTGTATGGAGCTGCCATAGAATAGAAAGGAAAATTCATCTACATTTTGAATTTAATACATCAGATGTGAAATTAACTTGGGTCTTAAATCAAGTTCAGCTTCCTTGAAAGCCTGCAGATCACTTCCAACATCCCTCATTTATCCTGAACTGTCTTTGGGAGGTTGGTGGGTCTGGCTACCCATGAAGACAAAGTGTTCCTTCCTGTCTGGTAGGGATTTAGTTTTGTATTTTTGTATTAGCTAATTTGTAAAGTGTTACCTTATTCCAGTGGGTCTTTTAATAACAGCTTTATTAAAGTATAATTCCATACCATACCATAAAATTCTCTGAGTTGTGCAGCCATCACCACTATCTAATTTTAGAACATTTACTTCACTCCAGAAGGAAACCCTGTACCCTCCAGTGGGTTCTCTGATTTGCTTATGTTTTAAAGGTACATAATCATATCATTTGAAAAATAAATTTTTCCCATTTTAAATTATAAACATTAGGCTGGGCATGGTGGCTCACGCCAGTAATCCCAGCACTTTGGGAGGCTGAGGTGGACAGATCACTTGAGTTGGGAGTTTGAGACCAGCCTCGACAATATGGTAAAGCCCCATCTCCACTAATACAAAAAATCAGCCAGGCATGGTAGTCCAGCTACTTGGGAGGCTGAGGACTGAGAATCACTTGAACCTGGGAGGCAGAGGTTGCAGTGAGCCAAGATGGCTCCACTGCACTCCAGCCTGGGTGACAGAGCGAGACTCCATCTGGAAAAAAAAAAATTATAAACATTATTTTTAAATTGTAAGTAGGCCGGGTGTGGTGGCTCACGCCTATAATCCCAACACTTTGGGAGGCTGAGGCAGGTGGATCACTTGAGGTCAGGAGTTCGAGACCAGCCTGGCCAACATGGCGAAACCCTGTCCCTACTAAAAATACAAAAGTTAGCTGGGAGTGGTGGCACGCGCCTGTAGTCCCACCTACTCTGGAGGCTGAGGCATGACAATTACTTGAATCTGGGAGGTGGAGGTTGCAGTGAGCCGAAATCGTGCCACTGCACTCCAGCCTGGGCAACAGAGCAAGACTCTATCTCAAAAATAATAATAATCATAAACTGTAAATACAGGTAAGAAATTCTTATGTAAGAACCTGCCCCTATCTATTTCTACTCTAGATAACTACAGTTTTTGTGTATTGCTCCAGAAATTTTCCTTGTGTGTGCACAAACATATTTAAATGTATAATTCTTTCCCAATGGGATCATGCTAGCTTTTTAAAATTACTTAATATATTATAGGCATTAAAATAAAAACTAAAATTTATATATATTTATATATAATTAGTATATATATTTTAAAATTAAAAAATACGTAATAGACATTTAAAAAATTCATACCTCATTCAGACCATTATTCATTTTGCTTGCAATGGTATTCCCAGTGCACAACATGGTGCCTGGTACATTGTAAGTATTCATTCAATAATCATTTTATCAGCTGCATGTTATTCTAATGTTAGAAAACCATAATTACTCAGGAATGGAAAACCAAACATCGTATGTTCTCCCTCATAAGTGGGAGCTAAACTATGAGGATGCAAAGGCATAAGAATGACTTTGGCGACTCGGGGAAGGGGTGAGAAGGGGGCGAGGGATGAAAGACTACAAATTAGGTTCAGTGTATACTGCTTGGGTGGTAGGTACACCAAAACCTCACAAATCACCACTAAAGAACTTACTTGTGTGACCAAATACCACCTGTTACCCAAAAACCTATGAAACTAAAAAGAAATTTTAATAAAAATTTTTAAAAACCAAATTTAGCCAGTCTCTTATTGATTTTAATTTTTTTGATGTTAGACTATGATATGATGAATCCTCTTGCATGGTCATTAAAATACGGTTTTTTTTCTCTGCATTTTATGGTTAAAAAAGGAAAAAAAATGTTTGTAGGACAAGTTCCTTGCAGTGGAATTTTGAGGATAAAGAGTAATATGTCTTTTTTTATTTTAATATATACCACTATTGTGGACATTATGTCATTCCTTGTGACATCCTAGTGTCTGAATCTCAGAACACTAGGAGTGTACAGAACTCCCACCTTCAGAGATACAATCTACTTCTGTGTAAAGAAGCAGAAATGGCAGATGCGCAGAAATGGCAGATGCTCACTTTCCCAGGCTCTGGTACACCTAGTGCTCAGACGTGGGACCTAGGTTCTACCAGAAGCTGGTGACAGGAAGAAGCAGGGCCCAGGTGAACTCAAATTTAGTGAAGATGGCAGCAGCAGTGGCAACTACATACAGCAGTAGTAACGTTCTTTGTTTTTTTCTTTTCTTTTTTTTTTCAGACGGTGTCTTGCTGTGTCACTCAGGCTGGAGTGCAGTCGCACAACCTCAGCTCACTGCAACCTCTGCCTCCCGGGTTCAAGTGATTCTCCTGCCTCAGCTTCCTGAGTAGCTGGGATTACAGGTATACGCCACCATGCCCAGCTAATTTTTGTATTTTTAGTAGAGATGGGGTTTCGTCATATTGGCCAGGCTGGTCTCAAACTGCTGACCTTAAGTGATCCGCCCACCTCAGCCTCCTAAAGTGCTGGGATTACAGGCACAAGCCACCGCGCCCGGCTGCTTTTCCTATTTCAAATGAAGTTATGAATCATCTTATCTGTTACTTTTTAAAATCCCATTGGAATTTTGTTTGTAATTATTAAGCTTATAGATCAATTTGGGTAGAACAAATGCTTTTTAAAATTTAAATTTTTGTTATAAAAGGTGTATGATGGCTGGGCACGGTGGCTCACACCTGTATTCCCAGCCAGCTCTTTGGAAGGCCGAGGCAGGTGGATCACTTGAGGCTGGGAGTTTGAGACCAGCCTGGCCAACATGGCGAAACCCCATCTCTACTAAAAATACAAAAAATTAGCCAGGTGTGGTGGCATGCACCTGTAATCCCAGCTACTCTGGAGGCTGAGGCAGGAGAATCACTTGAACCCAGGAGGTGGAAGTTGCATTGGGCTGAGATCATGCCACTGCACTCCAGGCTGGGTGACAGAGCAAGACTCTGTCTCAAAAAAAAAAGGAAAAAAAAAAGTTTTATGAATAAGTAATTTAAGTAGACCTATATTCAATAAAGAAATAGAATCAATAATTATTAGTAACCTTCCAAAACAGAAAGCCCCAGGCCCAGATGGGTTGGCGAGTGAATTCCAACAAATATTTAAGGAAGAAATGATAAAAATTCTCAACAATCTTTCAGAGAATAGAAGCAGAGGGACTACTTGCTAACTAGCTCTATGAGACCAACATTACACTAATACCAAAGCAAGACAAATTATAAGAGAAAACTACAGACCAATATCTTTTATGAACACAGATGCAAAAATCCTCAACAAAATATTAGCAAATCAAATCCAACAATGTTCAAAAAGAATTACACATCGTGACCAAGTAGGATTTCTCCCAGGTATGCAAGGTCAATTCTACATTTGAAAATCAATTAAATCCATTAATGCAATTCACCACATCAGTAGGCTAAAGAAGAGAAATCACATGATCCCTTCAATAGAGGCCAAAAAAGCATTTAATACCCATTCATGATTTAAAAAAAAAAAAAAAAAAAAGCCTTCCAGCAAACTAGGAATAGAGGGGAACTTCCTCAACTTCAGAAAGAACATCTACAAAAAACCTGCCACTAATATCATACCTAATGGTGAAAAACTTGAAGCATTCCTACTAAGATCAGGGATAAGGCAAGGATGTCTCCTCACTACTCCTTTTCAGCATTGTACTGGAAGTCCTAGCTAATGTGACAAAAAAAGAAAACAGAAGAAAAGAAAGATACAGGGCCGGGCATGGTAGATCACGCCTGTAATCTGAGCACTTTGGGAGGCCAAGGCAGGTGGAGTACTTGTGGCCAGGAGTTCGAGACCAGCCTGGCCAGTGTGGTGAAATCTCGTCGCTACTAAAAATATACAAATCAGCCAGGCATGGTGGTGAGCACCTGTAGTCCTAGCTACTTGGGAGGCTGAGGCAGAAGAATCACTTGAACCCAGGAAGCAGAGGTTGCAATGAGCCGAGATTGCACCACTGCGCCCCAGCCTGGGTGACAGAGTGAGACTCTGTCTCAAAAAAAGAAAAAGTATGTGGATTGGGAAGGAAGAAATAAAATTGTCTTTGTTCACTGAAGACATGATTTGTCTATGTAGAAAATCTCAAAGAATCTAGAAAAAAACCTCTTGGAACTAACAAGCAATTATAGTGAGTTTGCAGAACACAAGGTTAACATACAAAACTCAGTTGCTTTCCTATATACTAACAATGAAAAAGTGGAATTTGAAATGAAACATACATTACCATTTACATTTACATTAGCACTCCCAGAAATTGAACAAATAGGCGTAAATATAACAAAATATCTACAAAATCTTTATATAGAAAACTGTGATGACAGGTGTCAAAGAACTACATAAATGGAGAAACATTTCATGTTTGTGAATAGGAAAACTCAATGTCATCAAGATGTCAATTCTTCCTGACTTAATTGGTAGATTCAATGCAATCCCAATCGAAATCCCAGCAATTTGTTCTATGAACATCAACAAACTGATTGTAAAGTTTATATGGAGGGACAAAAGATTCAGAATAGCTGTCTTAGTTCATTTTGCATTGCTGTAAGGGAATACCTGAGGCTGAGTCATTTATAAAGAAAAGAGGTTTATTTGGCTCATAATTCTGCAGGCTGAACAAGAAGCATGGCACCAGCATCTGCTTCTGGTGAGGACCTCAGGAAGCTTCCAACCATGGCAGAGGTGAATGGGGAGCAGGTATGTCTCATGGTGAGAGAAGGAGGAAGAGAAAAAAGAACATTCATATTTTGCAGGAACTATGAGTGAGAACTGGCTCAATCCCTTGAGAATGGCACCATGACATTTATGAGGGATCTGTCCCCATGATTCCACCAGGTCCTACCTCCAACATTGGGGATCAAATTTTAACCTGACACTTGGAGGGGCCAAATATCCAAACTATTATTCTTTCCCTGGCCCCCCAAATGTCATATCCTTCTCACATTGCAAAATATAATCATCCCTTCCCAATAATTTCCAAAAGTCTTAACTCATTCCACTATCAATTTAAAAAATGCAAAATCTCATCTGAGACTGAAGGCTAATTTCTTCCAGCTGTGAGCCTGTAAGATGAAAAGCAAGTTATTGAATTCTAAGATACAATGATTGTGCAGGCATAGGGTAAACATTCCCATTCCAGAAGGAAAAAAATGGCCAAAAGAAAGCGGTAATAGGCCTCATGCAAGTCCAGAACTCAGCAGGGCAGACATTAAATCTTAAAGCTCCAAAATAATCTCCCTTAACTCCATGTCCTGCATCCTGGGCATACTGGTGCAAGGGGTGGGCTCCTAAGGCCTTGGGCAGCCCCACCCCTTGGCTTTACTGGGGCACAGCCCATATGGCTACTCCCACAGGTGGGAGTTGGGCCTTTGGCCTTTCCAGGCTGAAAATACAACCTGCTGGTGGCTCTACCACCCTCAGCTCTGGAGGGCAGCAGCCTTGTTCTACTAAGGAGTAGCCCAGTAGGGACTCTATGGGGGCTCCAACCCCACATTTCCCCTTGGCACTGCCCTAGTAGAGTCTCTCTGTGGGGGCTCTGCCCCTGTGGCAGGCTTCTGCCTGGGCATGCAGACTTTCTGATACATCTTCCGAAATCTAGGTGGAAACTGCCAGAATGTGCTCTTGCATTCTGTGTGTCTACAGACTTAACACCACATGGAAGCTGCCAGGGCCTCTGATTGGCAGCCTGAGCCATGCCTGGGGCCTTTTGAGCCCTGACTGGGGCCTGAACAGCCTGAATTTGGATTGGGCTCCTGAAACCATTCTGTCCTTCTAGGCCTCTAGGCCTTTTTCCCATTGTCTTGCTAATTTCTTCTGCAAGTGGTTGCTCTTCAGCCCCTTTAAATTTCTCTCCTAAAAATGCTTGTTCCTTCCCTACCACAGGACTGGGTTGCAAATTTTTCAGACTTTTACAGTCTGCTTTCCTTTTAATTTTAAGTTCAAACCTTAGATCAGCCCATTGCTCCCACATTTGATTGTGGACTGTGAGATTTAGAACAAAGCAATGATATTTGCTTTTACTGCTCCTATTCAGATGTTGCTGGAAGCCTCAGCTGGTGCAATTAGTTAAGAAAAGGAAATAGGCCAGGCATGGTGGCTCATACCTATAATCCCAGCACTTTGGGAGGCCAAGGAGGGAAGATTGCTTGGGCCCAGGAGTTCAAGACCAGCCTGAGCAAGATAGGGAGATACCATTTCTACAAAAAAAGCAAAATAGGAAAGGGGAATAAAAGGCTTACAGATTGGAAAAAAGAAATGAAACTGTCCCTATTTCCAGATGACATGATTGTCTATGCAGAAGATCTCAAGGAATATACCCACCCCCAACAACAACAACAACAAAACCCTCCTAGGACCTAATTGAGGGAGTTTAACAAGGTCACTGGATAGAAATTCAACACAAGCCTTGACCAGGAATTTTTTCCTTCAGGAGTATAGCCAACTTAGAAGGACTCTCCACTTCAAACAAACAAACAAACAAACAAACAGGATTCTGACCGAAACTAATTTGCCCTGCTAGTCAGGCTGGCAAGAATTAACAGAAGTCTCCAAAGAGTAAAATTAACCAAAAACTGTGAACAGAAACTAGAGTGGCAGGCAGCATATCCCATTATCAACACCATAAGTGGGTGATAAGCCTCGGGTCAGCAGTTTGCTGGTATAGGTGAATCTGACACTTCCAATTTCTTAAATCCAAAGCCCCAAAAGAAAAGTGTTCTGGTTTCTGAGCTTTCTTTGTTTTGCTCTAAAATGTGAATAACATTCACCTCACAATGTCTGAAAATAGGGTTAATTAGGAGGCCTGTTGGAGTTATTTCCTAGTTTCACTCTGCAGATGCCAAATATCGGGATGCCTTAGTAATCTGTGTTTCTCCTCCCTCTGGCAATACAACTGTTAAAATTAGATAATTTGTTATCTGTGAAAGTTTAATTGGAGCAATATGTGATGGAAATGCAAATTACTTAATTAGGAGTTAGGGAGAGTATGAGAGAACAATGAAATGAGAATAAATTAACAAATATTATTAGATTAAATTTATTTATTAATCGTGTTGGATCCAAGTACCTTATAGCTACCAAGGATACAGGATACAAAAAGAGGTTATTCTCAAATGGGGGAGAAGATAATTAAGTATCCTGCAAAATGCCTCATGATATGTGCTATAGTAATATTAGTATGTACAGTGTGCTATGGAACCATCAAAGAGGGGAGCAACTGACTCTCTCCAAAATTTGAAGAGCAATGCAGTTGGATTCTACTTCCAATCTGTGAAACTGCCTCACAGTTAAAGTACTCTCTGAGGGCCCGGTGAGAAATCAGGCAGATACCAGAGAGGAATCTATTCTTACAAGATAGCTGCATAGGGTGATATCTGTGACTTTGCGGCTTTTTTAACTGATTGCATTCCCCAGTCATTTGCAACTTGGGTGGCAGAAAGCTGAGATTTTATGAACTTGAAATGTCAGGGGACAGAGGTCAAGGCTGGCGGAGCAAGAAATTACAGAGGAATCCCTGCAAACAAGAAAAATCATACGAAGGGTGAACTGCAAAATTTTAGTATAATGACTGCTCAGGTGGTTGGCTGACAGCCAAATTATGTAGGCACAACAGAGGACCCCCGCCCCTGCCTCAAGAGGCCAGGTTAAAACAACAGCAGCTGGAAACCATAAGAACAAAGATATCAGTACCTATATTGTGCAAGGGAGACAAAGTTTGCAGTTCGAATCTAGGCAGGTTAAGTATTAATATCTACTAGAACAACAAAAACCCCACAACAATTCTTAGAAGAACACAGTTAAACCCAGTGTCTAGGCATGCAAAGAAACAGAAGTGTGACTCATACTCAAGGAGGGGGAAAGGGCAGTCAATAGAAACTGACTCTGAGTGAGCCTAGTTGTTGGATTTAACAGAAACTTCAAAGCAATTATTGTAAATGTGTTCAATGAGTTAAACTATGACATCAATGAGTGGGGTGGAAAATCTCAACCAAGAAATGGAAACTATAAAAATGGAAATTTGAGAGTTGAAAAATACAGTAACTGAAATTTTTTAAAAATCTAAATAGCTTCAACAGTAGATTAGAAAACAAAGCAGATTGGCAAAAGAAGCCATGAAGTTCAAGCTAGATCAATAGAAATCACCCAGTTTCGAGAAACAGGGGAGAAAAAGATGGAATAAAGTTGAAAAGAGATATGTAGGGCAATATCAAACAATCCATAATAGGTATAATTAGAGTCTTAGAAGGAGGGGCAGCAGTAAATTATAGAAAATTTTTTGAAGAAATAATGACTGGAATTTTCTCACATTTTGTGGGAAAAAATTAACTTACCCAAGTAGTACAGCAGACTGAAAGCAAGATAATTACAAAGAAAACCACTTATTGACTGTCCAGAGAAAAATGGTATATTGTACATAGGGAACAACAGTGCAGTTAACACCTCACTTCTTATCAGAAACCGTGGAGGTCAAAAGACATTGGACCAACATATTCAAATGATGGAAAAAAGAAAGCTTTCAGCCAAGAATTCTGCATCTGGAAAAATTATCCTTCAAAAATAAGGGGAAAATAAAGACATTTTTGGATAAACAGAGATGAGAGAATTTTTCACTAGCAGACCTGCACTATAAGACATTTTGGCTGAAGGGAAATGACACCTAAATGGATATTTGGATCTACACAAAGGAGTGAAGAGCACATGAAATTGTAAATGTGTGTAAAACAAAAATAATGATTTTTTGTTATGTCTTAATATCTTTAAAAGACAAGTGACTGAAAAAGTATAGTACTACTGTGCTGATGTGTTTACAATGTATACAGATAATACACAGGACAACAAAAATACAGGATGAGGCACAGGTGAGTGGAATATTTTGTAAGGTTTCTATAGTTTTACCTTAAGTAATTCGATAAATTTTCTTTTCTTTCTGTTTTTTTTTTTTTTTTTTTTTTTTTTTTTGTCCCCCAGGCTTGTCTTTGTCTGGCTTTGTCCCCCAGGCTTGAGTGCAGTGATGCAATCTCAGCTCGCTGCAGCCTCAACCTCCCAGGTTCAAGCAATCCTCTTGACTCAGCCCCGCCAAGTAGCTGGGACTACAGGTGCGCACCATCACGCCAGCCAGATTTTTTTGTAGGGATGGAGTTTCACCATGTTGCCAAGGCTGGTCTCCAGCTCCTGAGCGCAAGCAATCTGCCCGCCTTGGCCTCCCAAAGTGCTAGGACTACAAGCCTGAGCCACCATGCTGTGCCAAGAAGTAATTCAATACATTTTCTAAAATTTTCTAAAGTACACTGGAATAAATTGAATTTATACACTGTAGTCCCAAGAGCAACCACTAAAAATATAATGAAAAGACATATAGATAGAAAACCAATAGAGGAGTTAAAATGGAATGCCAAAAAATATGTCACTAGCATAAAGGGAGGTAGGAAAAGAGGGACAATGAAACAAATAATGGATAGAAGAAATAGGAAAGAGATGGTATGATTGTAGGTTTAAAAGTGAACATGTAAATAATTAAGTGTAAATAGACCAAAATTCTAAACAAAAGGCAGAGATTGTCAGACTGGACCAAAAAAAAAAGCAAGAACCAAGTATGTGCTATCTATATGAGATGTACTGTCTATATGAGAGACATTCTACATATAAAGATGCAAATACACTGAGAGTAAAAGGATAGAAAGAAATATACCATGCAAATAGTATGCACAAGAAATTTGTAGTAACTCTATTCTTACCAGAAAAACAAGACATCAATACAAGGAAGATTTCTGGAGACTAAGAGGAATCTTTCATAATGATAAAAGAGTTAATACATTGGGAAGTTATAAGAATTACATGTGTATATGCACCTAATAAATACAGTTTCAAAATACATGAAGCAAACAACTGAACTAAGGGAAAACAGTCAAACTACAACCGTAGTTGGACACTTTTCGCTCTGTAGTTGATAATAAAACTGGATCGCCCCCACCAAAGTAAAGAAATCAAAGATCTGAAAAACACTATTAACTACCATGACCTGATTGATATTTATAGAACTGTAACTAACAAATACAGAATACACTTTTTCTCCCTAAGTACACAAGGAAGATTCACCAGGGTAGGCTGTGTGTTAGGACATGAGTCTCAGTGTATTTCAAAAGATTAAAATCTTACAGAGTATGTTTTCTGACCATAATGAAAGTAAATTTGAACCACATGATAATAAAATGACTACATATTAAAAATTGTGTCCTTCAGAAAAATTCACATACTTTTAAAAATTGTGGGATGAAGCCAAAGTAGTCATTACAGTGAAATTTTTAGTTTTAAATGTTAATGTTAGAAAAGAAAAAAGTCTAAACCTAAGCTTCCATTTAAGAAGCTAGAGAAAGAACAAATTAAATACAAAGTAGAAAGAAGGAAATAATAAAGATAACAGAAATAGATGAAATAGGAAACAGATTAAAAAATCAATAAAGTTGATAAATATCTAGCTAGATTGATCAGGGATTTAAAAAATGTTACCAATATTGGGGATAAAAATAGGAATTGGGAATAAATCTATACAGAGTATAGAATTATAAAGTTGATAGGAAATATTATGAACAATTTTATGCCAATAAATTTGATAAATGAAATGGACAAATTTCTGGAAAAACACAAGTCATAAAACTAACACAAGAAGGCAGATAAAATATTAATAGCCCTATGTCTACTAAAGAAATTGAATTTGTAATTTTAATTTGTACCTTTCCTGCAAAGCAAATTTCAGGTGCAAAGAGGTTCACTGGTGAATTTCACCAAACATTTAAGAAAGACATAGTACCATTCAAACACAACTTAAATAGAAGGGGTAGGACTGTTTCTCAAGTTATTTTATTAAATCAGTTTTACTCCGATAACAAAAACAGAAAAATTACAAAAATAGAAAATTACAAATAAAAATCCCACATAAACATGCAAATTTTTTTTTTCTGAGAGATGACGCCTCACTCTATTGCCCAGGCTGGAGTGCAGTGGTGACCCCACAGCTGACTGCAGCCTTGACCTCCCAGGTTTAAGCCGTCCTCCCTTCTGAGCCTCCCAGGTAGCTGGGACCACTGGCATACACCACCACGCCCAGCAAGTTTATTTTATTTTATTTTTTTTTTTGTAGAGACAAGGTCTTGCTTTGTTGCCCAGGCTGGTCTTGAACTCCTGAGCTCAAGAGATCCTCCCGCCTAGGCCTCCCAAAGTGCTGGGATTACAGGCATGCACCACTGTGCCCAGGATAAATATGCAAAAATTCTTAACAAAATATCGATTCACTGAAGCCCATCAATATAGGAAAAGAACAATACATCATAACCAAGAGAAGCTTTCCCAGGATTGCAAGGTTAATTTAACACTAGAAAATCCATCAATATAAATTCTGATATTAGTAGAACAAAAAATCATCATCATCTTAACAGATGCTGAAGAAGCATTTGACAAAATGTAATAGCTCTTCCCAATTTAAACTCTGAGTAAACTAGGAAAAGAAGAGAACTTCCTTAAAGGCATCTGTGAAAACCCCACAGCTAGAATTATACTTAATGATGGAAATCTGAAATTCTTTCTTTTAAGTTCAAGAACAAGCAGGGAAGGCAGAGCAAGATGGCTGAATAGAACCCTCCAGCATTTGTCCCCCAAGCAAGAACACCAACTTGAACAACTATCCACACAAGAAAGCACTTTCAGAAGAACTAAAACTCAGGTGAGCAATCACAGTACCTGGTTTTAACATATTAAGGAAAGAGGCACTGAAGAGGTTAGGAAAGATAGTCTTGAATTGCCTATACCACACCTCCTCCGTCATCCAGCAGTGCAGTATGATGTGGAGAGAGAATCTGTGTGCTTGGGGAAGGGAAAGCGAAGTGATTGTGAGACTTTGCATTGGAACTCACTGCAGCCCTGTCACAGCAGAAAACAACACATGGCAGAATTTGGCCAGTGCCCACAGCAGAAGCATTTAGAACAGACATAGCCAGAGGCAAATCGTCCATCCTAGCAGTCGGAACTTGAGTTCCAGCTAGCCCCACCACCATGGGCTAAGGTGCTCTGGGGTGCTAAATAAATTTGAAAGGCAGTCTAGGCCACAAGGACTGCAATTCCTGCACAAGTCCTGGTGCTGTGTTGGGCTCAGAGCCAGTGGATTTGGGGTCCACACGATCTAGTGAGACACCAGCTGGGGCAGCCAAGGGAAAGCTTATGTCACCCCTTCCCCAACTTCAGGCAGCACAACTCACAGCACCGGGAGGAGAGGGAAGAGTAAAGAGGGGCCAGGCATGGTGGCCTGTAATCCCAGCACTTTGGGAGGCCAAGGTGGGCGGATCACCTGAGGTCAGGAGTTCGAGACCAGCCTGGCCAACATGGCGAAACCCCATCTCTACTAAAAATACAAAAATTAGCCAGGCATGGTGGCAGGCACCTGTAATCCCAGCTACTCAGGAGGCTGAGGCCTGAGAATCATTTGAACCCTGGAGGCGGAAGTTGCAGTGAGCCAAGATCTCGCCACTGCGCTCCAGCCTGGGTGACAGAGCAAGGCTCTGTCTCAAAAAAAAAAGTGTATGAGTAGATAATTTAAGTAGACCTATATCCAGTAAAGAAATAGAATCAATAATTATTAATAACCTTCCAGAACTGGACGACATTCTGTTAAGTGAAATAAGTTAGGCACACAAAGACAAACTTTGCATGTCCTCATTGTGAGAGCTAAAAATTAGACTCATGGTGATAGTGAGTAGAATGATGGTTACCAGAGGCTAGGAAGGGGAGTAGGGGGTTGGGAGAGAATGGATGGTTAATGGGTACAAAAATATTTTTAGATACAATGAATAAGATCTAGTATTTGATAGCACAACAAGGTGACTACAGTAAGCAATATTTTATTATACATTTCAAAATGACTGAGGGAGTACAATTGGAATGTTCTTAACAAAGAAATGAATTCTTGAGGTGACGGATACCCATTTACCCTGATGTGATTATTACACATTATACAATGTCTCAAAATATTCCTGTCTCAAAATATCTCATGTACCCCATAGATATATATTATATATAATATATAATTATTATATATATAATTATTATACATTAGTATATAATTGTATATTATATTATAATATATACTATTATATATTATATATTATGTATATAATGTATATATTATATATAACATAATATATATAACATATGTAATATAATATATAATATATCTACTATGCAGTTATAAAAATTAGAAAAAAAACAAGGGCCAGGCACAGTGGCTCACGCTGGTCATCCCACCACTTTGGGAGACCAAGGCAAGAGGATTCCTTGAGCCCAGGAGTTCAAGACCAGTCTGTAGTGACATCCCATCTCTACAAAAAAAAAAAAAAAAAAAAAAAAAAGGTGGGCATGGTGGAACGCACCTGCAGTCCCTGCTACATAGGAGGCTGAGGTCATAGGATCACTCCACTGCACTCCAGCCTGTGTGACATAGCGAGACCCCATCTCAAAAAACAAAAAGCAAGAATGTCTGTTTTTGGCACTTCTATTCAGAATTATACTGAATGCCTTAGCAATTGCAATAAGGCAAAAAAAAAAACATACAGATTGGAAAGGAAGTAAGACTTATTTGCAGACAACACATATATAGAAATGTATATCGAAATCCTAGGTTCCGCAGTGGCCATATAGGAACAGCTCCAGTCTACAGCTCCCAGGGTGAGTGACGCAGAAGACGGGTGATGTCTGCATTTCCAACTGAGGTTCATCTCACTGGGGCTTGTCAGTGGGTGCACGACAGTGGGTGCAGCCCACCGAGCAAGAGCTGAAGCAGGGTGAGGCTTTGCCTCGCCTGAGAAGCGCAAAGGGTCAGGGAATTCCCTTTCCTAGCCAAGGGAATCTGTGACAGATGGCACCTGGAAAATGGGGTCACTCCACCCTAATACTGTGCTTTTCCAATGGTCTTAGCAAACGGCACACCAGCAGATTATATCCTGCGCCTAGCTTGGAGGGTCCCACACCCATGGAGCCTCGTTCATTGCTAGCACAGCAGTCTGAGATTGAACTGCAAGGTGCCAGCGAGGCTTGGGGAAGGGTGCCTGCCATTGCTGAGGCTTGAGTAGGTAAACAAAGCAGCCAGGAAGCTCAAACTGGGTGGAGCCCACCGCAGCTCAAGGCCTGCCTGCCTCTGTAGACTCCACTTCTAGGGGCAGGGCATAGCCGAACAAAAGGCAGCAGAAACTTCTGCAGACTTAAATGTCCCTATCTGACAGCTTTGAAGAGAGTAGTGGTTCTCCCAGCTTGGAGTTTGAGATCTGAGAACGGACAGACTGCCTCCTCAAGTGGGTCCCTGACCCCTGAGTAGCCTAACTGGGAGGCACCTCCCAGTAGAGGCTGACTGACACCTCATACAGCCGGGTGCCCCTCTGAGATGAAGCTTCCAGAGGAACGATCAGGCAGCAGCATTTGCTGTTCCGCAATATTCACTGTTCTGCAGCCTCTACTGGTGATACTCAGGCAAACAGGGTCTGGAATGGACCTCCAGCAAACTCCAACAAACCTACAGCTAAGGGTCCTGACTGTTAGAAGGAAAACTAACAAACAGAAAGGACATTCACACCAAAACCCCATCTGTATGTCACCATCATCAAAGACCAAAGGTAGATAAAACCACAAAGATGGGGAGAAACCAGAGCAGAAAAGCTGAAAAAAAAATTTTTTTTTATACTTTAAGTTTTAGGGTACATGTGCACAATGTGCAGGTTAGTTACATATGTATACATGTGACATGCTGGTGCACTGCACCCAGTAACTCGTCATCTAGCATTAGGTATATCTCCCAATGCTATCCCTCCCCCCTCACCTCACCCCACAACAGTCCCCAGAGTGTGATGTTTCCCTTCCTGTGTCCATGTGTTCTCATTGTTCAATTCCCACCTATGAGTGAGAATATGCGGTGTTTGGTTTTTTGTTCTTGCGATAGTTTACTGAGAATGATGATTTCCAGTTTCATCCATGTCCCTACAAAGGACATGAACTCCTCATTTTTTATGGCTGCATAGTATTCCATGGTGTATATGTGCCACATTTTCTTAATCCAGTCTATCATTGTTGGACATTTGGGTTGGTTCCAAGTCTTTGCTATTGTGAATAGTGCCACAATAAACATACGTGTGCATGTGTCTTTACAGCAGCATGATTTATAGTCCTTTGGGTATATACCCAGTAATGGGATGGCTGGGTCAAATGGTATTTCTAGTTCTAGATCCCTGAGGAATCGCCACACTGACTTCCACAATGGTTGAACTAGTTTACAGTCCCACCAACAGTATAAAAGTGTTCCTATTTCTCCACATCCTCTCCAGCACCTGTTGTTTCCTGACTTTTTAATGATTGCCATTCTAACTGGTGTGAGATGATATCTCATTGTGGTTTTGATTTGCATTTCTCTGATGGCCAGTGATGATGAGCATTTTTTCATGTGTTTTTTGGCTGCATAAATGTCTTCTTTTGAGAAGTGTCTGTTCATGTCCTTCGCCCACTTTTTGATGGGGTTGTTTGTTTTTTTCTTGTAAATTTGCTTGAGTTCATTGTAGATTCTGGATATTAGCCCTTTGTCAGATGAGTAGGTTGCAAAAATTTTCTCCAATTTTGTGGGTTGCCTGTTCACTCTGATGGTAGTTTCTTTTGCTGTGCAGAAGCTCTTTAGTTTAATTAGATCCCATTTGTCAATTTTGGCTTTTGTTGCCATTGCTTTTGGTGTTTTAGATATGACGTCCTTGCCCTTGCCTATGTCCTGAATGGTAATGCCTAGGTTTTCTTCTAGGGTTTTTATGGTTTTAGGTCTAACATTTAAGTCTTTAATCCATCTTGAATTGATTTTCGTATAAGGTGTAAGGAAGGGATCCAGTTTCAGCTTTCTACATATGGCTAGCCAGTTTTCCCAGCACCATTTATTAACTAGGGAATCCTTTCCCCATTGCTTTTTTTTCTCAGGTTTGTCAAAGATCAGATGGTTGTAGATAGGCGGCATTATTTCTCTCTCTGTTTTGGTACCAGTACCATGCTCTTTTGGTTACTGTAGCCTTGTAGTATAGTTTGAAGTCAGGTAGCGTGATGCCTCCAGCAGTGTTCTTTTGGCTTAGGATTGACTTGGCGATGTGGGCTCTTTTTTGGTTCCGTATGAACTTTAAAGTAGTTTTTCCAATTCTGTGAAGAAAGTCATTGGTAGCTTGATGGGGATGGCATTGAATCTATAAATTACCTTGGGCAGTATGGCCATTTTCATGATATTGATTCTTCCTACCCATGAGCATGGAATGTTCTTCCATTTGTTTGTATCCTCTTTTATTTCCTTGAGCAGTGGTTTGTAGTTCTCCTTGAAGAGGTCCTTCACGTCCCTTGTAAGTTGGATTCCTAGGTATTTTATTCTCTTTGAAGCAATTGTGAATGGGAGTTCACTCATGATTTGGCTCTCTGTCTGTTATTGGTGTATAAGAATGCTTGTAATTTTTGTACATTGATTTTGTATCCTGAGACTTTGCTGAAGTTGCTTATCAGCTTAAGGAGATTTTGGTCTGAGACAATGGGCTTTTCTAAATATACAATCATGTCATCTGCAAACAAGGACAATTTGACTTCCTCTTTTCCTAATTGAATACCCTTTATTTCCTTCTCCTGCCTGATTGCCCTGGCCAGAACTTCCAACACTGTGTTGAAGAGGAGTGGTGAGAGAGGGCATCCCTGTCTTGTGCCAGTTTTCAAAGGGAATGCTTCCAGTTTTTGCCCATTCAGTATGATATTGGCTGTGGGTTTGTCATAGATAGCTCTTATTATTTTGAGATACGTCCCATCAACACCTAATTTATTGAGAGTTTTTAGCATGAAGGTTGTTGAATTTTGTCAACAACCTTTTCTGCATCTATTGAGATAATCATGTGGTTTTTGTCTTTGGTTCTGTTTATATGCTGGATTACATTTATTGATTTCCGTATATTGAACCAGCCTTGCATCCCAGGGATGAAGCCCACTTGATCATGGTGGATAAGCTTTTTGATGTGCTGCTGGATTCGGTTTGCTAGTATTTTATTGAGGATTTTTGCATCAATGTTCATCAAGGATATTGGTCTAAAATTCTCTTTTTTGGTTGTGTCTCTGCCCGGCTTTGGTATCAGGATGATGCTGGCCTCATAAAATGAGTTAGGGAGGATTCCCTCATTTTCTATTGATTGGAATAGTTTCAGAAGGAATGGTACCAGTTCCTCCTTGTACCTCTGGTAGAATTCGGCTGTGAATCCATCTGATCCTGAACTCTTTTTGGTTAGTAAGCTATTGATTATTGCCACAATTTCAGCTCCTGCTATTGGTCTGTTCAGAGATTCAACTTCTTCCTGGTTTAGTCTTAGGAGGGTGTATTTTTCAAGGAATTTATCCATTTCTTCTAGATTTTCTAGTTTATTTGCATAGAGGTGTTTGTAGTATTCTCTGATGGTAGTTTGTATTTCTTTGGGATCGGTGGTGATCTCCCCTTTATCATTTTTTATTGCGACTGTTTGATTCTTCTCTCTTTTTTTCTTTATTAGTCTTGCTAGCGGTCTATCAATTTTGTTGGTCCTTTCAAAAAACCAGATCCTGGATTCATTAATTTTTTTTTCTTTTTTTTTTATTATACTTTAAGTTTTAGGGTACATGTGCACATTGTGCAGGTTAGTTACATATGTATACATGTGCTGTGCTGGTGCGCTGCACCCACTAACTCATCATCTAGCATTAGGTATATCTCCCAATGCTATCCCTCCCCCCTCCCCCCACCCCACAACAGTCCCCAGAGCGTGATATTCCCCTTTCTGTGTCCATGTGATCTCATTGTTCAATTCCCACCTATGAGTGAGAATATGCGGTGTTTGGTTTTTTGTTCTTGCGATAGTTTACTGAGAATGATGATTTCCAATTTCATCCATGTCCCTACAAAGGACATGAACTCATCATTTTTTATGGCTGCATAGTATTCCATGGTGTATATGTGCCACATTTTCTTAATCCAGTCTATCATTGTTGGACATTTGGGTTGGTTCCAAGTCTTTGCTATTGTGAATAATGCCGCAGTAAACATACGTGTACATGTGTCTTTATAGCAGCATGATTTATAGTCCTTTGGGTATATACCCAGTAATGGGATGGCTGGGTCAAATGGTATTTCCAGTTCCAGATCCCTGAGGAATCGCCACACTGACTTCCACAATGGTTGAACTAGTTTACAGTCCCACCAACAGTGTAAAAGTGTTCCTGTTTCTCCACATCCTCTCCAGCACCTGTCGTTTCCTGACTTTTTAATGATTGCCATTCTAACTGGTGTTAGATGGTATCTCATTGTGGTTTTGATTTGCATTTCTCTGATGGCCAGTGATGATGAGCATTTTTTCATGTGTTTTTTGGCTGCATAAATGTCTTCTTTTGAGAAGTGTCTGTTCATGTCCTTCGCCCACTTTTTGATGGGGTTCTTTGTTTTTTTCTTGTAAATTTGTTTGAGTTCATTGTAGATTCTGGATATTAGCCCTTTGTCTGATGAGTGGGTTGCAAAAATTTTCTCCCATTTTGTAGGTTGCCTGTTCACTCTGATGGTAGTTTCTTTTGCTGTGCAGAAGCTCTTTAGTTTAATTAGATCCCATTTGTCAATTTTGGCTTTTGTTGCCATTGCTTTTGGTGTTTTAGACGTGAAGTCCTTGCCCATGCCTATGTCCTGAATGGTAATGCCTAGGTTTTCTTCTAGGGTTTTTATAGTTTTAGGTCTAACGTTTAAGTCTTTAATCTATCTTGAATTGATTTTTGTATAAGGTGTAAGGAAGGGATTCAGTTTCAGCTTTCTACATATGGCTAGCCGGTTTTCCCAGCACCATTTATTAACTAGGGAATCCTTTCCCCATTGCTTGTTTTTCTCAGGTTTGTCAAAGATCAGATGGTTGTAGATATGCGGTGTTATTTCTGAGGGCTCTGTTCTGTTCCATTGATCTATATCTCTGTTTTGGTACCAGTACCATGCTGTTTTGGTGACTGTAGCCTTGTAGTATAGTTTGAAGTCAGGTAGCGTGATGCCTCCAGCTTTGTTCTTTTGGCTTAGGATTGACTTGGCGATGTGGGCTCTTTTTTGGTTCCATATGAACTTTAAAGTAGTTTTTTCCAATTCTGTGAAGAAAGTCATTGGTAGCTTGATGGGGATGGCATTGAATCTATAAATTACCTTGGGCAGTATGGCCATTTTCATGATATTGATTCTTCCTACCCATGAGCATGGAATGTTCTTCCATTTGTTTGTATCCTCTTTTATTTCCTTGAGCAGTGGTTTGTAGTTCTCCTTGAAGAGGTCCTTCACGTCCCTTGTAAGTTGGATTCCTAGGTATTTTATTCTCTTTGAAGCAATTGTGAATGGGAGTTCACTCATGATTTGGCTCTCTGTTTGTCTGTCGTTGGTGTATAAGAATGCTTGTGATTTTTGTACATTGATTTTGTATCCTGAGACTTTGCTGAAGTTGCTTATCAGCTTAAGGAGATTTTGGGCTGAGACAATGGGGTTTTCTAGATATACAATCATGTCGTCTGCAAACAGGGACAATTTGACTTCCTCTTTTCCTAATTGAATACCCTTTATTTCCTTCTCCTGCCTAATTGCCCTGGCCAGAACTTCCAACACTATGTTGAATAGGAGTGGTGAGAGAGGACATCCCTGTCTTGTGCCAGTTTTCAAAGGGAATGCTTCCAGTTTTTGCCCATTCAGTATGATATTGGCTGTGGGTTTGTCATAGATAGCTCTTATTATTTTGAAATACGTCCCATCAATACCTAATTTATTGAGAGTTTTTAGCATGAAGGGTTGTTGAATTTTGTCAAAGGCTTTTTCTGCATCTATTGAGATAATCATGTGGTTTTTGTCTTTGGCTCTGTTTATATGCTGGATTACATTTATTGTTTTGCATATATTGAACCAGTCTTGCATCCCAGGGATGAAGCCCACTTGATCATGGTGGATAAGCTTTTTGATGTGCTGCTGGATTCGGTTTGCCAGTATTTTATTGAGGATTTTTGCATCAATGTTCATCAAGGATATTGGTCTAAAAGTCTCTTTTTTGGTTGTGTCTCTGCCCGGCTTTGTTATCAGAATGATGCTGGCCCCATAAAATGAGTTAGGAAGGATTCTCTCTTTTTCTATTGATTGGAATAGTTTCAGAAGGAGTGGTACCAGCTCCTCCTTATACCTCTGGTAGAATTCGGCTGTGAATCCATCTGGTCCTGGACTCTTTTTGGTTAGTAAGCTATTGATTGTTGCCACAATTTCAGATCCTGTTATTGGTCTATTCAGAGATTCAACTTCTTCCTGGTTTAGTGTTGGGAGAGTGTATGTGTCGAGGAATTTATCCATTTCTTCTAGATTTTCTAGTTTATTTGCGTAGAGGTGTTTGTAGTATTCTCTGATGGTTCTTTGTGTATTCTCTGTAGTATTCTTTGTGTTTCTGTGGGATTGGTGGTGATATCCCCTTTATCATTTTTTATTGCGTCTATTTGATTCTTCTCTCTTTTTTTCTTTATTAGTCTTGCTAGCGGTCTATCAATTTTGTTGATCGTTTCAAAAAACCAGCTTCTGGATTCATTAATTTCTTGAAGGGTTTTTTGTGTCTCTATTTCCTTCAGTTCTGCTCTGATTTTAGTTATTTCTTGCCTTCTGCTAGCTTTTGAATGTGTTTGCTCTTGCTTTTCTAGTTCTTTTAATTGTGATGTTAGGGTGTCAATTTTGGATCTTTCCTGCTTTCTCTTGTGGGCATTTAGTGCTATAAATTTCCCTCTACACACTGCTTTGAATGCGTCCCAGAGATTCTGGTATGTTGTGTCTTTGTTCTCGTTGGTTTCAAAGAACATCTTTATTTCTGCCTTCATTTCGTTATGTACCCAGTAGTCATTCAGGAGCAGGTTGTTCAGTTTCCATGTAGTTGAGGAGTTTTGAGTGAGATTCTTAATCCTGAGTTCTAGTTTGATTGCACTGTGGTCTGAGAGATAGTTTGTTGTAATCTCTGTTCTTTTACATTTTCTGAGGAGAGCTTTACTTCCAAGTATGTGGTCAATTTTGGAATAGGTGTGGTGCGGTGCTGAAAAAAATGTATATTCTGTTGATTTGGGGTGGAGAGTTCTGTAGATGTCTATTAGGTCCGCTTGGTGCAGAGCTGAGTTCAATTCCTGGGTATCTTTGTTGACTTTCTGTCTTGTTGATCTGTCTAATGTTGACAGTGGGGTGTTAAAGTCTCCCATTATTAATGTGTGGGAGTCTAAGTCTCTTTGTAGGTCACTCAGGACTTGCTTTATGAATCTGGGTGCTCCTGTATTGGGTGTATATATATTTAGGATAGTTAGGTCTTCTTGTTGAATTGATCCCTTTACCATTATCTAATGGCCTTCTTTGTCTCTTTTGATCTTTGTTGGTTTAAAGTCTGTTTTATCAGAGACTAGGATTGCAACCCCTGCCTTTTTTTTGTTTTCCATTTGCTTGGTAGGTCTTCCTCCATCCTTTTATTTTGAGCCTATGTGTGTCTCTGCATGTGTCTTTATCCAATTTGCCAGTCTGTGTCTTTTAATTGGAGCATTTAGTCCATTTACATTTAAAGTTAATATTGTTATGTGTGAATTTGAACCTGTCATTATGATGTTAGCTGGTTATTTTGCTCGTTAGTTGATGCAGTTTCTTCCTAGTCTCGATGGTCTTTACATTTTGGCATGATTTTGGAGCGGCTGGTACCGGTTGTTCCTTTCCATGTTTAGTGCTTCCTTCAGGAGCTCTTGTACGGCAGGCCTGGTGGTGACAAAATCTCTCAGCATTTGCTTCTCTGTAAAGGATTTTATTTCTCTTTCACTTATGAAGCTTCGTTTGGCTGGATATGAAATTCTGGGTTGAAAATTCTTTAAGAATGTTGAATACTGGCCCCCAGTCTCTTCCGGCTTGTAGAGTTTCTCCCAAGAGATCCGCTGTTAGTCTGGTGGGCTTCCCTTTGTGGGTAACCCGACCTTTCTCTCTGGCTGCCCTTAACATTTTTTCCTTCATTTCAACTTTGGTGAATCTGACAATTATGTGTCTTGGAATTGCTCTTCTCAAGGAGTATCTTTGTGGCGTTCTCTGTATTTCCTGAATCTGAATGTTGGCCTGCCTTGCTAGATTGGGGAAGTTCTCCTGGATGATATCCTGCAGAGTGTTTTCCAACTTGGTTCCATTCTCCCCATCACTTTCAGGTACACCAATCAGACGTAGATTTGTTCTTTTCACATAGTCCCATATTTCTTGGAAGCTTTGTTCATTTCTTTTTATTCTTTTTTCTCTAAACTTCCCTTCTTGCTTCATTTCATTCATTTCATCTTCCATCGCTGATACCCTTTCTTCCAGTTGATCACATCAGCTCCTGAGGCTTCTGCATGCTTCACGTAGTTCTCGAGCCTTGGCTTTCAGCTCCATCAGCTCCTTTAAGCACTTCTCTGTATTGGTTATTCTAGTTATACATTCGTCTAAATTTTTTTCAAAGTTTTTAACTTCTTTGCCTTTGGTTTGAATATCCTCCTGTAGCTTGTAGTTTGATCGTCTGAAACCTTCTTCTCTCAACTCGTCAAAGTCATTCTCCGTCCAGCTTTGTTCCATTGCTGGTGAGGAACTGCGATCCTTTGGAGGAGGAGAGGTGCTCTGCTTTTTAGAGTTTCCAGTTTTTCTGCTCTGCTTTTTCCCCATCTTTGTGATTTTATCTCCTTTTGGTCTTTGATGATGGTGATGTACGGATGGGTTTTTGGTGTGGATGTCCTTTCTGTTTGTTAGTTTTCCTTCTAACAGACAGGACCCTCAGCTGCAGGTCTGTTGGAGTTTGCTAGAGGTCCACTCCAGACCCTGTTTGCCTGGGTATCAGCAGCGTTGTCTCCAGAACAGTGGTTTTTCGTGAACCGCGAATGCTGCCGTCTGATCGTTCCTCTGGAAGTTTTGTCTCAGAGGAGTACCCGGCCGTGTGAGGTGTCAGTCTCCCCCTACTTGGGGGTGCCTCCCAGTTAGGCTGCTCAGGGGTCAGGGGTCAGGGACCAACTTGAGGAGGCAGTCTGCCCGTTCTCAGATCTCCAGCTGCGTGCTGGGAGAACCACTGCTCTCTTCAAAGCTGTCAGACAGGGACATTTAAGTCTGCAGAGGTTACTGCTGTCTTTTTGTTTGTCTGTGCCCTGCCCCCAGAGGTGGAGCCTACAGAGGCAGGCAGGCCTCCTTGAGCTGTGGTGGGCTTCACCCAGTTGGAGCTTCCCGGCTGCTTTGTTTACCTAAGCAAGCCTGGGCAATGGCGGGCGCCCCTCCTGCAGCCTCGCTGCCGCCTTGCAGTTTGATCTCAGACTGCTGTGCTAGCAATCAGCAAGACTCCATGGGCGTAGGACCCTCCAAGCCAGGTGCAGGATATAATCTCCTGGTGCGCCCTTTTTTAAGCCCGTCGGAAAAGCGCAGTATTAGGGTGGGAGTGATCCGATTTTCCAGGTGCCGTCTGTCACCCCTTTCTTTGACTAGGAAAGGGAACTCCCTGACCCCTTGCGCTTCCGGAGTGAGGCAATGCCTCGCCCTGCTTCGGCTCGCGCATGGTGCGCTGCACCCACTGACCTGCGCCCACTGTCTGGCACTCCCCAGTGAGATGAACCCGGTACCTCAGATGGAAATGCAGAAATCACCCGTCTTCTGCGTCGCTCACGCTGGGAGCTGTAGACCGGAGCTGTTCCTATTCGGCCATCTTGGCTCCTCCCCCCGAAAAGCTGAAAATTCTAAAAGTCAGAGTGCCTCTTCTCCTCCAAAGGAATGCAGCTCCTCGCCAGCAACAGAGCAAAGCTGGACAGAGAATGACTTTGACGAGTTGAGAGAACAAGACTTCAGACAATCAAACTTCTTCTAGCTAAAGGAGCATGTTTGAACCCATCGCAAAGAAGCTAAAAACCTTGAGAAAAGATTAGACGAATGGCTAACTACAATAACCAATGAAGAGAAGTCCTTAAATGACCTGATGGAGCTGAAAACCATGACACGAGAACTACGTGATGCATGCACAAGCTTCAGTAGCCGATTCGATCAACTGGAAGAAAGGGTATCAGTGATTGAAGATCAAATGAATGAAATGAAGCAAGAAGAGAAGTTTGGAGAAAAAAGAGTAAAAAGAAACGAACAAAGCCTCCAAGAAATATGGGACTATGTGAAAAGACCAAATCTGCGTCTCATTGGTGTACCTGAAAGTGATGGGGAGAATGGAACCAAGTTGGAAAACACTCTTCAGGATATCATCCAGTAGAACTTTCCCAACCTAGCAAGGAAGGCCAACATTCAAATTCGGGAAGTATAGAGAATGCCACAAAGATACTCCTTGAGAAGAGCAACTCTGAGACACATAATTGTCAGATTCAACAAAGTTGAAATGAAGGAAAAAATGTTAAGGGCAGCCAGAGAGAAAGGTTGGGTTACCCACAAAGGGAAGCCCATCAGACTAACAGCTAATCTCTTGGCAGAAACTCTATAAGCCAGAAGAGAGTGGGGGCCAGTATTCAACATTCTTAAAGAAAAGAATTTTCAACACAGAATTTCATATCCAGCCAAACGAAGCTTCATAAGCGAAGGAGAAATAAAATCCTTTACAGAGAAGCAAATGCTGAGAGATTTTGTCACCACCAGGCCTGCCCTACAAGAGCTCCTGAAGGAAGCACTAAACATGGAAAGGAAGAACCGTTAGCAGCCACTGCAAAACCATGCCAAATTGTAAAGACCATTGAGACTAGGAAGAAACTGCATCAACTAATGAGCAAACTAACCAGCTAACATCATAATGACAGGATCAAATTCACACATAACAATATTAACCTTAAATGTAGATGTGCCCAATGCTCCAATTAAAAGACACAGACTGGCAAATTGAATAAAGAGTCAAGACCCATCAGTGTGCTGTATTCAGGAGACCCATCTCACATGCAGAGGCACACATAGGCTCAAAATAAAGGGATGGAGGAAGATCTACCAAGCAAATGGAAAACAAAAAAAGGCAGGGGTTGCAATCCTAGTCTCTGATAAAACAGACTTTAAAGCAACAAAGATAAAAATAGACAAAGAAGGCCATTACATAATGGTAAAGGGATTAATTCAACAAGAAGACCTAACTATCCTAAATATATATGCACCCAATACAGGAGCCCCCAGATTCATAAAGCAAGTCCTTAGAGACCTGCAAAGAGACTTAGACTCCCACACAATAATAATGGGAGACTTTAACACCCCACTGTCACCATTAGACAGATCAATGAGATAGAAAGTCAACAAAGATATCCAGGAATTGAACTCAGCTCTGTACCAAGCGGACCTACTAGACATCTACAGAACTCTCCACCCCAAATGAACAGAATATACATTCTTCTCAGCACCACACCATACTTATTCCAAAACTGACCACATAGTTGGAAGTAAAGCACTCCTCAGCAAATGTAAAAACAGAAATTATAACAAACTGTTTCTCAGACCACAGTGCAATCAAACTAGAACTCAGGATTAAGAAACTCACTCAAAACCGCTCAACTACATGGAAACTGAACAACCTGCTATTGAATGACTACTGGGGTACATAATGAAATGAAGGCAGAAATAAAGGTGCTCTTTGAAACCAATGAGAACAAAGACACAACATACCAGAATCTCTGGGATACATTTAAAGCAGTGTGTAGAGGGAAATTTATAGCACTAAATGCCCGCAAGAGAAAGCAGGAAAGATCTAAAATTGACACCCTAACATCACAATTAAAAGAACTACAGAAGCAAGAGCAACCACATTCAAAAGCTAGCCAGCGGAAGGCAAGAAATAACTAAGATCAGAGCAGAACTGAAGGAGATAGAGACACAAAAAGCCCTTCAAAAAATCAATGAATCTAGGAGCTGGGCAATAAAAAATGATAAAGGGGTTATCACCACCGATCCCACAGAAATACAAACTAACCTCAGAAAATACTATAAACACCTCTATGCAAATAAACTAGAAAATCTAGAAGAAATGGATAAATTCCTGGACACATACACCCTCCCAAGACTAAAACAGGAAGAAGTTGAATCCCTGAATAGACCAATAACAGGCTCTGAAATTGAGGCAATAATTAATAGCCTACCAACCAAAAAAAGTCCAGGACCAGACGGATTCACAGCCAAATTCTAAAGTCCAGGACCAGATGGATTCACAGCCAAATTCTACCAGAGGTACAAGGGGGAGCTGGTACCATTCCTTCTGAAACTATTCCAATTGATAGAAAAAGAGGGAATCCTCCCTAACTCATTTTATGAGGCCAGCATCATCCTGATACCAAAGCCGGGCAGAGACACAACCAAAAAAGAGAATTTTAGACCAATATCCCTGATGAACATTGATGCAAAAATCCTCAATAAAATACTGGCAAACCGAATCCAGCAGCACATCAAAAAGCTTATCCACCATGATCAAGTGGGCTTCATCCCTGGGATGCAAGGCTGGTTCAATATACAGAAATCAATAAATGTAATCCAGCATATAAACAGAACCAAAGACAAAAACCACATGATTATCTCAATAGATGCAGAAAAGGCCTTTGACAAAATTCAACAGCACTTCATGCTAAAAACTCTCAATAAATTAGTTATTGATGGGACGTATCTCAAAATAATAAGAGCTGTTTATGACAAACCCACAGCCAATATCATACTGAATGGGCAAAAACTGGAAGCATTCCCTTTGAAAACTGGCACAAGACAGGGATGCCCTCTCTCACCACTCCTATTCAACATAGTGTTGGAAGTTCTGGCCAGGGCAATTAGGCAGGAGAAGGAAATAAAGGGTATTCAATTAGGAAAAGAGGAAGTCAAATTGTCCCTGTTTGCAGATGACATGATTGTATATTTAGAAAACCCCATCGTCTCAGCCCAAAATCTCCTTAAGCTGATAAGCAACTTCAGCAAAGTCTCAGGATACAAAATCAATGTGCAAAAAATCACAAGCATTCTTATGCACCAATAACAGACAGAGAGCCAAATCATGAGTGAACTCCCATTCACAATTGCTTCAAAGAGAATAAAATACCTAGGAATCCAACTTACAAGGGATGTGAAGGACCTCTTCAAGGAGAACTACAAACCACTGCTCAACGAAATAAAAGAGGACACAAACAAATGGAAGAACATTCCATGCTCATGGATAGGAGGAATCAATATCGTGAAAATGGCCATACTGCCCAAGGTAATTTATAGATTCAATGCCATCTCCATGAAGCTACCAATGACTTTCTTCTCAGAATTGGAAAAAAACTACTTTAAAGTTCATATGGAAGCAGAAAAGAGCCTGCATTGCCAAGACAGTCCTAAGCAAAAAGAACAAAGCTGGAGGCATCATGCTACCTGACTTCAAGCTATACTACAAGGCTACAGTAAACAAAACAGGATGGTACTGGTACCAAAACAGAGATATAGAGCAATGGAACAGAACAGAGCCCTCAGAAATAATACCACACATCTACAACCATCTGATCTTTGACAAACCTGACAAAAACAAGCAATGGGGAAAGGATTCCCTATTTAATAAATGGTGCTGGGAAAACTGACCAGCCAAATGTAGAAAGCTGAAACTGGATCCCTTCCTTATACCTTATACAAAAATTAATTCAAGATGGATTAAAGACTTAAATGTTAGATCTAAAAGCATAAAAACCCTAGAAGAAAACCTAGGCAATACCATACAGGACATAGGCATAGGCAAAGACTTCATGTCTAAAACACCAAAAGCAATGGCAGCAAAAGCCAAAATTGACAAACGGGATCTAATTAAAGAGCTTCTGCACAGCAAAAGAAACTACCATCAGAGTGAACAGGCAACCTACAGAATGGGAGAAAATTTTTGCAATCTGCCCATCTGACAAAGGGCTAATATCCAGAATCTACAAAGAACTTAAACAAATTTACAAGAAAAAATCAACCCTATCAAAAAGTGGGCGAAATATATGAACAGATACTTCTCAAAAGAAGACATTTATGCAGCCAACAGACACATGAAAAAATGCTCATCATCACTGGCTATCGGAGAAATGCATATCAAAACCACAATGAGATACCATATCACACCAGTTAGAATGGCAATCATTAAAAAGTCAGGAAACGACAGGTGCTTGAGAGGATGTGAAGAAATAGGAACACTTTTACACTGTTGGTGGGACTGTAAACTAGTTCAACCATTGTGGAAGACAGTGTGGCGATTCCTCAAGGATCTAGAACTAGAAATACCATTTGACCCAGCCATCCCATTACTGGGTATATACCCAAAGGATTATAAATCATGCTGCTGTAAAGACACATGCACACGTATGTTTATTGTGGTACTATTCACAATAGCAAAGACTTGGAACCAACCCAAATATCCATCAATGATACACTGGATTAAGAAAATGTGGCACATATACACCATGGAATACTATGCAGCCATAAAAAATGATGAGTTCATGTCCTTTGTAGGGACATGGATGAAGCTGGAAATCATCATTCTCAGTAAACTATCGCAAGGACAGAAAACCAAACACTGCATGTTCTCACTCATAGGTGGGAATTGAACAATGAGAACACTTGGACACAGGAAGGGCAACATCAACACACCGGGGCCTGTAGTGGGGTGGGTGGCTACGGGAGGGATAGCATTAGGAGATATATCTAATGTAAATGACGACTTAATGGTTGCAGCACACCAACATCGCACATGTACACATATGTAACAAACCTGCATGTTGTGCACATGTACCCTAGAACTTAAAATATAATAATTTTTTAAAAAGTTAAAAATAAATAAAAATAAAATGTAAGCAAACACTTAAAAAAATAAAATAAATTGAAAGAATAAAAAAAGAAAAAAAAAATCCTAAGGAATCGACAAAAAAAAGTTTACTCAAACTAGTGAACTTAGCAAGGTTGCAGGATACAGTATCAATATACATAAATCAAGTATATTTATATTAGCAATGGACAATTGGAAAATGAAATAAAAATACATTTCTATTTTCAATATCATTAAATTCTTGAGGATAGAGAGAGAGGTTTGCATAGGTTCAGTGGAGACATGATAGAGGAAGGGGTTAGTTTAACCAGCGGGGAGAAGTGATCTGGAAGGATCACTTCTGTGGTGTCTGTGCTGTGTCTTGAAAGACAAGAAACTCCAAACAATCAAAGGGATGATAGTCATTCCAGGTAAAATGAAAAAAGCAAACATTCCTAGGCCCTAGGTGATCCACCGCGCCTAGCCGGTGATGGGTTTTAAATAGTCCAGGCACAGTGGCTCGTGCCTGTAATCCCAGCACTTTGGGAGGCCAAAGCCGGGGAATCACCTGAGGTCAGGAGTTCGAGACCAGCCTGGCCAACATGGTGAAACCTCATCTCTACTAAAAATACAGAAATTAGTCTGGTGTGGTGGTGTACATCTGTAATCCCAGCTACTTGGGAGGCTGAGGCAGGAGAATCACGTGAACCCAGGAGGCAGAGTTTGCAGTGAGCCAAGATTGTACCACTGCACTCCAGCCTAGGCTAACAGAGCGAGACTCCATCTCAAGAATGAATGAATGAATAAATAAATAAATAAATAAATAAATAAATAAATGGGAGAGACCTGGTGATGTTGCATTTTAGCAGTTGGCTATGGGAGAGGAGTTGAGTTCAGACCTTTGATGGCCTTTCAGCTATTTATGTTCAGTTCTTGCCATTGAGAGCCAAGCCACCAAAGGTGGTGATACTATATGGCTGCTTCCTAAGAATGAGGCATTAGATTTCACCAAGCAATCCCTATTCCAGGATGCCAACTTCTCACTTGACCCACTCAGAATTCTGTATTCTGCTTTGGTGCTGTTAACAATGGTGACCATCTATTAAGAGAAATAGCATGGTAGCTGTGATAGCAGCAATAGTATTGCTAGCCTCAGGGCCCTAAAGTACCAGTGGCAGTAGTATCCAAGTAAGTGAGAAGACAGAAGGTAGAGCAATATTTTTCCAGGCTCATGGTACAGAGGTTGATTACAATACCTCTGTACTGTATCATTAGGCTTTGTGAATAGCCTGATCAGTTTGCCAAGGAATGGAAGTGGAGATCGGAAGTTTTCATTAATTTACTTACTTAGGGCTCAGACTTACACTATTGGTTTTATTACCCTTGTTATATTATCTTTCATATCTGTTTCTAGGTTGATTACACATTGAATCAAGTTGTACATTCCTAGGCCCTCACAGGGAAAGAAGGAGACAGATCTGTGTTTGAATGTCTGTCTCTGCTACTTAGCTGTATAATCTTAAGGTAGATAACCTAACCCCTCTGAACTCTAGTTTCCCCATCTGTATGATGGATTGATAATGCCTACCTTATCAGGTCATTGTGAAAATTAAAGATATGTGAAAATACTCAACATGTTCTTAGCACATAGATTCTTTCACATTTGCTTCACTTCTTATTTAGTTTTTGTTGTAGGTTATCCTGTGTATTTGACCTTCCAAACAAAGGTTGCTTTTGACTTTATGACTTAAGGTTGGAATATCTCCTACTACTCCCCTGTCCTCCTTGGACCAGAAAAAAAAAAAATCCCACTGTGATCCTAGTCATGCGTATGTGGCATTTGGAGAATTTAAGAAGGTATAGAAATTGACAGCTTTGGCAATACTATTGCTTATGTTACACAAGATGTGTAACTTATCAGTGAGGTGAAATGGTAAAGTAATGCTTATCCTTAAAAGCTAAGACTTAAGTCATCTCAGATAAAGCTAATACTCCCATCTTGACCTCTTTTCTTCACACAATCCTTCAACAGGACTTCATTGACTTAACTAGAGAGACCAGACCAAGGACAAAAGATCGCAGTGGACTGTATGTGATTGACCTGACAAGAGCTGAGGGAGAAAATAGACCTATTGCCACTCTTGACTTAACTTTAGAACCTGTCACTCCTTCCCAGAAGGAGCCAACCAGTCTTCAGACATGTGCCAGCCTCTCTGGCAAAGCGGTGATGGAAGGGCACGTGGACAGAAGCTCTCAGCCTACAGCACGGAGAATCATTAACAGTGATCCTGTAGATTTGGACCTAGTGGAAGAAAACACCTTTGTAGGTCCCCCACCCGCTACATCCATCAGTGGAGGCTCTGTTTATCCAACAGAGCCTAATTGTAGCTCAGCCACATTCACAGGTAACCTCAGCTTCTTGGCAAGTCTACAGCTGTCTTCAGATGTTAGCTCCCTCTCCCCAACAAGCAATAATAGTAGGAGCAGCAGCAGCAGCAGCAATCAAAAAGCACCCTTGCCATGCCCACAGCAAGATGTATCTCGCCCACCACAGGCCTTGCCGTGCCCCCTGCGACCTTTGCCATGCCCACCGAGAGCCTCACCATGTCCACCACGAGCCTCCTCATGCCCACCACGAGCCTTGTCATGCCCATCACAAACCATGCAGTGCCAACTACCAGCTCTAACTCACCCACCTCAAGAAGTGCCATGCCCTCGGCAGAATATCCCAGGCCCACCTCAAGACTCTCTGGGCCTACCTCAAGATGTGCCAGGGCTGCCTCAAAGCATATTACATCCACAAGATGTGGCATACCTGCAAGACATGCCACGGTCACCAGGAGATGTGCCACAGTCACCAAGTGATGTTTCACCGTCACCAGATGCACCACAGTCACCAGGGGGCATGCCACACTTACCGGGAGATGTGTTACATTCACCTGGAGACATGCCACACTCATCAGGGGACGTGACACACTCACCTAGAGACATCCCTCACTTACCAGGAGACAGGCCTGACTTTACCCAGAATGATGTACAGAACCGTGACATGCCTATGGATATCTCAGCTCTGTCCTCTCCAAGCTGCTCTCCCAGCCCACAGTCTGAAACTCCCTTAGAGAAAGTTCCTTGGCTCTCTGTCATGGAAACCCCAGCCAGAAAAGAAATATCACTGTCAGAGCCTGCCAAACCTGGGTCTGCCCACGTACAATCACGAACACCACAAGGTGGGTTGTACAACAGACCATGCCTGCATAGACTGAAGTACTTCTTACGTCCTCCGGTTCATCACCTCTTCTTTCAGACGCTAATACCGGATAAAGACACAAGAGAGGTGAGCTAACATCTTCCCTCAGGGATTAGGTGTCCTTTCCCTAGGCCTAGGAGAAGGTCAGTGTGACTGGAGTCCATGCGTGAGAGGACAGGTCAAGCATAAATGAAATTTCTTATCTTTCCTCCACTTGTGAAGACCCATTCAGTGTAGAGGCCCAGATCTGGGTTCAAATTTTAGCCCCACGCTTAAAAACTGTCACTTTACTTTTTTTTTTTTTTTTTTTTTTGAGACCGAGTCTTGCTCTGTCTCCCAGGCTAGAGTGCAGTGGCACAATCTTGGCTCACTGCAACCTCCGCCTCCCAGGTTCAAGAGTTTCTTCTACCTCAGCCTCCCTAGCAGCTGGGACTACAGGCGCATGCCGCCATGCCCGGCTAATTTTTTTTTTTTTTTTTTTTTTTTGAGATGGAGTCTCGCTCTGTCGCCCAGGCTGGAGTGCAGTGGCACGATCTCCGCTCACTGCAAGCTCCGCCTCCCGGGTTCACGTCATTCGCTTGCCTCAGCCTCCCGAGTAGCTGGGACTATAGGCGCCCGCTACCACGCCCAGCTGATTTTTTGTATTTTTAGTAGAGACGGGGTTTCACAGTGTTAGCCAGAATGGCCTCGATCTCCTGACCTCGTGATCCACCCGCCTCGGCCTCCCAAAGTGCTAGGATTACAGGCGTGAGCCACCGCGCCTGGCACGCCCGGCTAATTTTTTGTATTTTAGTAGAGACAGGGTTTCATTGTGTTAGCCAGGATGGTCTTGATCTCCTGATCTTGTAATCCACCCGCCTCAGCCTCCCAAAGTGCTGGGATTACAGGCATGAGCCACCGCGCCCAGCAGGGCACTTTACCTTTTTAAGCCTTAGCTTTCCTATCTGTAAAATGGAAGTAATAACATACCTCACAGGGTCATACGTGAAAGTGTCAGGGTGTCAGGCTCATCGTAGGCCTTATGTAAATTCTTATCTTCTAGCTGGATGTGGTGGCATGCACCTGTAATCCCAGCTACTCAGGAGGCTGAGGCAGGAGAATCACCTGAATCTGGGAGGCGGAGGTTGCAGTGAGCTGAGACTGCACCACTGCACTCCAGCCTTGGCCACAGAGCAAGACTCTGTCTCAAAAAAATAAATAAATGTTTATCTTCAACTCCTATGCTTTTCCCTTCCTGGTGCCCTTATTACAGCTTCTATATCACAGAGATAATAATACTCTATCACTTATGGGCCTCCAAAATTATTACTTGCTGACTTTGGGGGAGGAAATTCAATATTAAGACATGAGTGGGAATGCTCCTTTCCATTGGTCATCATTGATTTATGAGAAGTAAACTAGATGTGTTAGGGAAAATAACTGGCTAAGTTCCACCGTATGAAGTGTTTTTTAGTTATGTACATCCCATCCCCCATATTAAGAAAACCAGCTTGAAACAGTTCAGTGTCAAAAGGTATGCTCTCCTCATTCAAGCAGTGATCCAGGTAGGCAGGAGCCAAGGATTCACACTGATTTGACCTTGGAGAATGATTTTTTTTCTCTTTTTTAAAATTATTACATCTTCTAATATGTTGTAGGTCTTCTCCTTCTTTATGCCTCTGCCTGACCACTAGCTCATTCTTTTTTTTTTGGGACAGAGTCTCACCCTGTCACCCAGGCTGGAGTACAGTGGTACGATCTCAGCTCACTCACTGCAACCTCCGCCTCCCAGGTTCAAGCGATTCTCCTGCCACAGCCTCCCGCGTAGCTGGGTTACAGGTGCCCGCTACCACTTCCGGCTTTTTGTACTTTTAGTAGAGACAGGGTTTCACCATGTTGTCCAGGCTTGTCTTGAACTCCTGACCTCAAGTGATCCGCCCACCTCGGCCTCCCAAAGTTCTGGGATTACAGGCGTGAGCCACCGCGCCCGGCCCAGACAGCATTTATTATTGTGAATAATTTGATGTCTTTCCTTCCCAGTTGCCTTTTTATACATAGGCATTTTACATATTTTAATAATTGGGATTTTTAACATATACACATTATTTTTGTTGTTTATGGGGAGTAGGGGTTGAGAGAATGGCTCTGAAGTTTACGCCACGTGTGTTTGAAACCAGCTTCTGCCATTTGTTGTATGACAAATGCTTACCCTCCAAATCTGTTTCTTTATTTATGAGATAGGAATAATAATAGTATGTATTTCCTAAGATTATTGTAAGAACTAGTTGAGGATCAATTAAGTGTTCAGTGCTGGGCGCAGTGGCTCACGCCTGTAACCCCAGCATTTTGGGAGGCCGTGGTCGGTGGATTGCTTGAGCCCAGGAGTTTGAGACCAGCCTGGGCAACATAGTGAAACCCCCTCTATAAAAAATTCAAAAATTAGCTGAATATGGTGGCACACACCTATATCCTAGCTACTCTGGAGGCTGAGGCAGGAGAATGGCATGAACCCGGGAGGCGGAACTTGCAGTGTGCCAGGATCACGCCACAGTGCTCCAGCGTGGGCGACACAGCGAGACCCCATCTCAAAAAAAAAAAAAATTAATTGTTTAAGGCCAGACATGATGGCTCACACCTATAATCCCAGCACTTTGGGAAGCCAAGACAGTCTTGATCACTTGAGTTCACAAGTTCGAGACCAGCCTGGGCAACATGGTGAAACCCCATCTCTACTAAAAATACTAAAAAAAATTAGCCAGGCATGGTGGCACACACCTGTAGTCCCAGCTACTTGGGAGGCTGAGGTGGGAGGATGGCTTGAGCCTGGGAGGCAGAGGTTGCAGTGAGCCATGATCATGCCACTGTGTTCCAGCCTGGGTGACAGAGCCAGACTTCATCTCAAAAAAAAAAAAAAAATTAAGAGCTCCAAATTTATTGTTATTAAACCCTCATATCAAACTTTAAAATTGTTTAATTCTAATTATAAAAGTAATAAGTGTGTTATGGAAAAATTGAAAAATATAGAAGAGCACATAGAGAAAAAATCACCACTAATTCTACCACCCACATAATAGAAAATCACTTTTCACATATTCTCTCGCAGTCTTTATATACATATTTTTTGGGGGAAGAAGCAACTTAATATTTACTGTTCGCACAAAAAAAAAATGGAATTCTTCTCCTAACAACAAAATGAATTTAAAACTTCTTTCTTATCTATTTCGGTATCTGATATAGTATCACAGCTATCCCTAAGTCTCTAGTTACCCTCACCCCAAAATCAACCTAGGCTACCTGTTGACCCTTTTGTATTTTTCTGTCTATGCTATATTTTAACATAGATGAAATCATGTTATATGTACAATTTTGAATTCTGATTTTTTAACTTTATATGAGCTTTTTCCCATGTCATTAAAAGTTTTTTAGATAAAGCTCTTTTTTGTCTGTTTTGATTTGGAGTCTCGCTCTGTCACCTAGGCTGGAGTGCAGTGGCGCCATCTTGGTTCACTGCAGCCTCCACCTTCCGGGTTTAAGCAATTCTCATGTCTCAGCCTTCAAGTAGCTGGGACTACAGTTGCGTGCCACCACGTCTGGCTAATTTTTATATTTTTAGTAGAGACGGGGTTTCACCATGTTGGCCAGACTGCTCTCGAACTCCTGACCTCAAGCAGTTCTCCTGCCTTGGCCTCCCAAAGTGCTGGGATTACAGGCATGAGCCACTGCACCCGTCCTCTTTTTTTTTTTTTAATCATGAAATATTTCAAATGCCTGGAAAACTTTGCTATCTTCAACGTATTCTAGAACCTCTTATTTTTGTATACTATAGAAATCCCGGCTCGGCGCCGTGGCTCACACCTGTAATCCCAGCACTTTGGGAGGCTGAGACAGGCAAATCACGAGGTCAGGAGATTGAGACCATCCTGGCTAACACCGTGAAACCCTGTCTTTACTAAAAATACAAAAGAAAATTAGCCGGGCGTGGTGGTGGGCGCCTGTAGTCCCAGCTACTCTGGAGGCTGAGGCAGGAGAATGGCATGAACTCGGGAGGCAGAGCTTGCAGTGAGCTGAGATCACGCCACTGCACTCCAGCCTGGGGAACAGAGCAAGACTCCGTCTCAAAAAAAAAAAAAAAAAAAAAAGAAAAGAAATCCCTCCTAATTTCCTTCTTTTTAATCTCTACAGAACAAGGGTCAAAAATTAGAACCCATCCCTCATCGAAGACTAAGAATGGTAACAAATACCATTGAAGAGAATTTTCCTCTGGGGACTGTGCAGTTTTTGATGGACTTTGTGTCACCCCAGCATTACCCACCAAGAGAAATCGTGGCTCACATCATCCAGAAAATCTTGCTCAGTGGCTCTGAGACTGTGGATGTCCTAAAGGAGGCCTACATGCTTCTCATGAAAATTCAACAGTATGAACCGTAACCTCTGGCTGTTGGCGAATCTTCTAGGGATCTTGGACTCAGGGCATAGCTTTCTCTTGACAGGCTTTTTTAACCTAACCGTTACAGTGGGTGACTTAGCATATTAGTGTTATTTGAATTGCAAATGATAGGAAACCCAGTCCAAACAGACCTTAACTACTGCTAAAAGAGAATTTAATGGCTCGTGTTACTAGAAACCGAGGAGTGAGATGTGACTTGATTCAGTATACAAAAATGGTTACCAGGGTTCATTCTGCAGCTCTACTTCGGTTCTGTTTGGGGCTGCATGTGGTAGCCTCTCAGCCTCAGTTCTGTTTTGGGGCCGCATGTGGTAGCCTCTCAGCCTCAGTTCTGTTTTGGGGCCGCATGTGGTAGCCTCTCAGCCTCAGTTCTGTTTGGGGCCGCATGTGGTAGCCTCTCAGCCTCAGTTCTGTTTTGGGGCTGCATGTGGTAGCCTCTCAGCCTCAGTTCTGTTTTGGGGCTGCATGTGGTAGCCTCTCAGCCTCAGGCTTTTATGACACTTCCAGTGGGAAAGAGTGTCTGCTTCCTTTATAGTCACCCAAGAGTTCTGAAATTGAGTCTTGCAGGATTTAATTGGCCTAATGAGAGACATGACCATATCTTTGAGCCAATCACCGTGAACTGAGGGGTAGAACAGCACGATTGGCTAAAAAAGCCACATACTTCATTTTGGGGTTCTGGTAGGTAAAACTAGTTGGTTAAGAGTAGTGAAGAGTTGGTTTCTTAAGACAAAATTATAGTACTAAAGCTTTCCAAAAGGGGACTGGATACTGGGTAGCAAAAAACAATGAAGTTCCACTACTCTCAGATTGACATGGTATGATACCAGAAAGTGAGCAAGAGCATGGAGGATAATGGAGGATAGGAAGAGGCTTCTTCCTTCTATCACCTTCAGATCCTATCCCTTCTTCCGCTAAATTCTCCATAATTCTAATTGATTTCACTTGACTTTCAGGCTACATCCAGCCAATGCCAAGACAGTGGAGTGGGACTGGAAACTGCTCACCTATGTCATGGAGGAAGAGGTAACAACAATTATAAGATTATATCTTCTGTAGGGGAAGTTTTAACTATAAAGAAAAGTGATATCAGGTGCCATGGCTCACACCTGTAATCCCAGCATTTTGGGAGGCCGAGGCAGGAGGACAGTTTGAGCCCAGGAGTTCAAGGCCAGCCTGGGCAACAAAATGAGACCCTGTCTCTACAAAAATAAAAATAAAATATTTAGCCAGGCATAGTGATGCATGCCTGTGGTCCCAGCTACACAGAAGGCTGAGGCAGGAGGATTGCTTGAGCCTAGGAGGTCAAGGCTATAGTGATCCATGATCACAACATTGTACTCCAGCCTGGGTGACAGAGCAAGACCCTGTCTTAAAAGAAAAAAGAAAAGTGACAGTAAATCTGGTAATAAAGTCTACACCATTATTCCCTCCTGATTCTCCCACCCCTGCCAAAAAATTCCTATTGAAATGGTATGTGCTATCTTCCAATTCAAGATTTAGTATATTTACTTATCCCTCTCCTTGAGATCCCATTAAAAATAATAGTAAATGAATAGAGAAAGTTATAAATTCATGGCTATGAAAAAAGGGGAAGGATAGCAGATTTGAATGAAGATTAGGGAGACCTACAGAGAATGTAAGAGTGATGACTGATGAGCCGGGCAGAGAAAGCCACATATATGTAAAGAGGCTACAGCCAAGGAAGGATGAATCTTCACTTTAGAGCACCAGAGAGGTCTTGGATTTAGAAACACAATATCTAATAGAGGGCAGGAGTCAGATGTGGGCTATTGGATATTTATTGAAAGTTTGTGGATGGAACAGCCAACCTCTTCATTGCTGAGGGCAGAAGGATCAGTAGCCAGGTTACCTACCTTCAGGCAAAAAGTCACAGAATGTATTGTCTAAAAAAGTTGAATGAGGCCAGGCGTGGTGGCTCATGCCTGTAATCCCAGCACTTTGGGAGGCCAAGGCGGGCAAATCACCTGAGGTCGGGAGTTTGAGACCAGCCTGCCCAACATGGAGAAACCCTGTCTCTACTAAAAAATAGAAAATTTAGCTGGGTGTGGTGGCACATGCCTGTAATCCCAGCTACTCGGAAGGCTGAGGTAGGAGAATTGCTTGAACCCAGCAGATGGAGGTTGCAGTGAGCCCAGATCATGCCATTGCACTCTAGTCTGGGCAGCAAGAGCGAAACTCTGTCTCAAAAAAAAAAAAAAAAAAAAAAAAACGTTGAATGAACTCTCTGTAATAAACAAAGACAGCTAGTGCAGAGTTGGTGCTACAGGAAGAAGGTCTTCCACATTCTGACCTTTAAGGATCCCCAAGTTTAATTTAATGGATCCCCAACTTTTTGTCTGCTCACCTAAAGCAATTGGCTAAAACAAATTACTTAGAATTCTGTACTTAGCCAAACTATCAGTTAAGTGTGAGGATACAATTAAGACATTTCCAGCTATGCAGGAATTTGAAAATATATCCTCATACCCTGTTTCTTAGGAGGTTACCTGAGGTAGTATATCAAAGGAATGAGGAAGTAATCAAAAAAAGGGGGGAGGCATGGGATTCAGGCAACATCAGATTTAATCCAGGAGAGTATTGAAGTCCCAAGATTACAATGAATAGCACACCTAGGAAGCAGTTAGTCCAGATAGGAGTGAAATAACAGAGGGCTTTAAATAGGAACAATCTGGGAGACATCTGCAAGATGGTAGACTAGGAAGCTCCAGGCCCTTGTTACCCCATGGAGACACTGAATTAACAACCATATACAGACCAGAATATCACTGTGAGAACTCTAGAGCCGAATTAAGAAGCTTCAGTGCCCAGGCCAATGCCTAACCAAGAACATAGTCTATCAAAAGTGCTAGGAAAGTTTGTGGCATTTTGCATGCCCATGTCCCTCTCCCTCCCCAGCAAAGCATGGTTCAACCAGGAAAAAACCTCCCATACCTTGGCTCTTCCCTTGGGCCAGAAACAAAAGAGTGGACCATGCATGCAATGTACTGACTTGTCTGGGGGCTGCCTGGCCACCCACCTCGACCTCCCAAGGTGCTGGGATTACAGGCGTGAGCCACCACACCTGTCCTGGAGTGGGAGGCTGAGATGGGAGTATCACCTGAGGTCGGGAGTTCGAGGCCAGCTCAGCCAACATGGTGAGACCCCATCTCTACTAAAAATATAAACATTAGCTGGGTGTGGTGGTGCATGCCTGCAGTCTCAGCTACTTGGGCACAAGAATTGCTTGAACCCAGAAGGTGGAGGTTGCAGTGAGCCAAAATCATGCCACTGCACTCCAGCTTGGGCAACAGAGCAAGACTCTGTCTCAAAAAACAAAACAAGTTATGGGTATACAGTATATAAAGATCTAACTTTTAAGACATTGATAATATAAATTGCAGTGGAGTAGTAAAGAAGTAGAGGTTTTTGTATGCAACTGAAGTTGTTAAACTAGATTGTTATAACTTTAAGACATGTTATGTGATCTCATTGGTAACTTCAAGTAAGATATCTATAGAATATAACCAAAAGGAAATGGGAAAGAAATCAAAGCATGTCACTACAAAAAAAATCAATGAAAAATGAAGGAAGGCAGTAACAAAGGAAAGGAGGCCTGAAAAGGCTACAAGACGTATAGGAAATAATTAATATGGCCATAGTAAGTTCTTCCCTGTCAGTAATTATTTTAAATGCAAATAGATTAAAGTCCCCAATTAAAAGACAGAGATTAGCTGAATGGACTAAAAACCAGGATCCAACTATATGCCATCTACAAGAGTCCCACTTTATATCTTTTCAAATACCAAACTCTTGTGGCCAGGTGCAATGGCTCACGCCTGTAATTCCAGCACTTTGGGAGACCAATGTAGAAGGATTGCTTGAAGTCAGGAGTTCAGGACCAGCCTAGACAACATAGAAAGACTCTTGTCTCTAAAAAAGTTTTTTACTTAGTAGGCATAGTAACACACACCTGTTGTCCCAGCTACTGTGGAGGTTGAGGTGGGAGGATCCCGTGAGCCCAGGAGTTCTAGGCTGCAGTAGGCTATCATAGTGCCACTGCACTCCAGTTGGGTGACATAGCAAGACCCTGTCTCTAAAAAAAAAAAAAAGAAATAAAGATTTGCTGAAAGTGAAAGGATGAGAAAAGATATTCCTCACAACTGGTAATCCAAAGAGAGCAAGGGTGGCTATACTAATATAAGACAAAAAGACTTTAAGTCAAAAACTGTTACAAGTGGCAAAGAAGGACATTATATAATAAAAGGGTCAATTCACCAAGGAGGTATAACAATTACAAATATATATGCACTAAACATCAGACTTCCTAAATATATAAAGCAAACACTGACAGAATTGAAAGAAGAAATAGACAACACAATAATAGTAGGAGATTCAGTACCCCACTTTCAATAATGGAGAAAATAACCAGACAGAAAATCAATAAGGAAACAGAGCACTTGAACAATACTATAGGCCACTTAACCATAGACATACACAGAACATTCCACCCAACAACAGCAGAACACACATTCTTCTCAAGTGTACGTGGAATTTTCTCCAGATAGACCACATGTTGGGCCACAAAACAAGACTTAAACAAAATGTAAAAACATCAATATTATACTAAGTATCTTCCAATCACAATGGGATGAAACTAGAAATCAATAGCAGAATGAAATCTGGAAAACCCACAAATATGTGGCAACTAAACAACACACAACAATGGTTCAGAGAAAAAAAATCTCATGGGAAATTTTAAAATACTCCGGGACAAATTAAAATGGAAATATGACATACGAAAACTTATGGATGCAGCAAAAGCAGCACTAAGAAGTACAGATGTAAATAAATGCTTGCACTGAAAAAGAAAGATCTCAAACCAACAACCTGAGTATATCTAAAGTAGGAAAAGAAGAAACTGAACCCAAAGTTAGCAGAGGAAGGTAATAGTAAAGATTAGAGCAGAGATAAATGGAGAATAGGGAAAAAATGAACAAAACTAAGATATGGGGTTTTTAAACATTTCATTTGTTTGTTTTGAGGCAGAGTCTCACTCTGTCACCCAGGCTGGAGCTCAGTAGCACAATTATCGCTTACTGAAACCTTGAACTTCTGGGCTCAAGCTGTCCTCCAGCCTCAGCCTCTCAAGTAGCTGGGAAAACAAGCATGCGTCACCATACTCAGCTAATTTTTTATTATTTTTTGTCGAGGTGGGAATCTAGCTAAGTTGCCCAGGCTGGTCTTGAACTCTTGGCCTCAAGTGATTCTCCCACCTTTGCCTCCCAGAGTACTAGGATTACAGACATGAGCCACTGCACCCAGCCACAGAGTTGGGTTTTTGAAAAGAACAAAACTGACAAACTCTTAACTAGATTAAAAAAGAGAGAAGATTCAAATTACTAAAATCAGCATTGATAGCTCAGTGATAGAATTTTTAAAAATTACTAAAATCTGAAATGAAAGAGGGGGCATTACAACCAGTGCCACAGAAATAAAAAGGATTATAAGAGAATACTACCAACAATTATACCCCCAATAAACTGGATAACCTAGAATAAATGGAGTAATTCCTAGAAACCTACCAAGATTGACTCATGAAGAAATAAAAAATCTGAACAGAACAATAACTAGTAAGGAGATAGAATCAGTAATCAAAAACCTTTCAACAAAAAAGCCTAGAACAAGGTGGCTTCACTAGTAAATTTGGCCAAACATTTAAATAAAAATTAACACCAATCCTCCTCAGACTTTTGCAAAAAACCGGAGAGATAACTTATTTCAGCTTATTCTGTGAGGCCAGCATTACCCTGTGATATGGTTTGGCCGTGTCCCCACCCAAATCTCATCTTGAATTGTAGCTCCCATAATTCCCACGTGTTATGGGAGGGACCTGGTGGGAGGTAATTGAATCATTGGGGCGGGTTTTCCTGTGCTGTTCTCATAATAGTGAATAAATCTCATGAGATCTGATGGTTTTATAAAGGGGAGTTCCCCTACACAAGCTCTCTTGCCTACTGACATGTAAGATGTGACTTTGCTCCTCATTCGCCTTTTGCCATGATTGTGAGGCCTCCCCAGCCATGTGGAACTGTAAGGCAACTAAACCTCTTTCCATTATAAATTACCCAGTCTAGGGTATGTCTTTATTAGTAGCGTGATACACCCTGATACCAAAGCCAGATCAAAAAAACTACAAGCAGCTGGGTGCAGTGGCTCATGCCTGCAATCCCAGCACTTTGGGAGGCCAAGGTGGGCGGATTGCTTGAGGCCAGGAGTTCAAGACCAGCATGACCAACATGATGAAACCCCATCTCTGCTAAAGATAACAAAAATTAACCGAGTATGGTGGCATGCACCTGAAATCTCAACTACTGAGGAGGCTGAGGCAGGAGAATCACCTGAACCCGGGAGGCAGGGGTTGCAGTGAGGCAAGATGGTGCCACTGCACTCCAACCTGGGCGATAGAGCGAGACTCTGTCTCAAAAAAAAAAAAAAAGGAAAAGTAAAAAACTACAATAAAACTGCCAACCAATATACCTAATAAATGTTGATGAAGAAATCCTCAACAAAATACTAACAAACTAAAATTCAACAGCACATTAAAAGGATATGCAGTCATCCCTTGGTTGACTACATGGGGGGACTGGTTCCAGGACCTCCCTTGGATACCAAAATTTGCAGATGTTCAAATCCCATATAACCTATGCACATCCTCTTATATACTTCAAATCATCTGTAGATTACTTATGATACCTAATACAATGTAAATTATATATAAATAGTTGTTATACTGCATTGTTTAAGGAATGATGACAAGAAGAAACATTTGTACATATTCAGTGTAGATGTAAATTTTTTTTCAATTATTTTCAAATCTCAGTTGGTTGAATCCATGGATGCAGAACCCACAGATACAGAGAGCCAACTGTAAACCATGAACATGTGGGATTTATTCCTGGATGGTTTAACATATGAAAGTAAATGTGATACACCATATTACAGAATGAAGGAGAAAAAACACACAATCACCTCAATTAATGCAGAAAACACATTTGACAAAATTCAACACCCTTTCTTGATAAAGACACTCAAACTAGAAATAAAAGAAAACTACCTCAACATAATAAGGGCCATATGTGAAAAGCCCACAGTTGGCATCATACTGAATGGTGAAAAACTGAAAGATTTTCCTCTAAGATCAGATGTGCCTGCTCTTGCCACTTCTATTCAACATAGTACCTCAAGACCTAGACAGAGCAGTTAGTCAAGAAAAAGAAATAAAGGGCATCCAAATTAGAAAGGGAGAAGTAAAATATCTTTGTTCACAGGTGACATGATCTTATATGTAGAAAATCCTAAAATTCCACCAAAAAAAAAACTAGTAAATGAAATAATAAGTGAATTCAGCAAAACAGCAGTATATAAAACCAGCTCACAAAACTCAGTTGCATTTTTGTTAAACCAACAATGAAAAATCTGAAAAGGAAATAACACAATTTCATTTACAATATCATCAAAAAGAATAAAATACTCAGGCATAAACCTAACCAAGGAGGTGAAAGATTTGTATACTGAAAACTACAAAATGTTGTGGAAAGAAATTAGACACCAATAAATGGTAAGGCTTCCTATATTCATGGAGTGGAAGACTTAATATGGTTAAGATGTCAGTACTACCCAAAGTGATCTACAGGTTCAACACAATTCCCATCAAAATCCCAACAGCATTTCTTTTTTTTTGTAGAAATAGAAAATTCCATCCTAAATTTCATGTTGAATCCCAAGAGACACCAACTTTTAGTCTTTCAGAAGTTGATGTCTTTAGCCGGGCATGATGGTGGGCACCTGTAATCTCAGCTACCCAGGAGGCTGAGTCCAGAGAATTGCTTGAACTCGGGAGGCAGAGGTTGCAGTGAGCTGAGATCACGCCACTGCATTCCAGTGTGGGTGACAGAGTGAGACTCTGTCTTTAAAAAAAAAAAAAAAAAAAGTTGGTATCTTGCAAAGGACACCAAATAGCCAAAGCAATTTTTTTTTTTTTTTTTTTGAGACAGAGTTCAGCTCTTATTGCCCAGGCTACAGTGTGATGGCGCAATCTCAGCTCACTACAACCTCCGCCTCCTGGGTTTAAGCGATGCCTCAGCTTCCCAAGTAGCTGGTATTACAGGCATGCGCCACCATGCCCGGCTAATTTTGTATTTTTAATAGAGACGGGTTTCTCCATGTTGATCAGGCTGGTCTCGAACTCCCGACCTCAGATGATCCGCCCGCCTCGGCCTCCCGAAGTGCTGGGATTACAGGCGTGAGCCACCATGCCCGGCCAGTCAAAGCAATCTTGAAATAAAAAGAACAAAGTTGGAGTTCTCACACTTCTTGACTGTAAAATATAAAGCTACAGTACTCAAAACAGTGTGGTACAAGAAAGAAGATAGACATATGGACTAGAGAGCCCAGAAATAAACCTTTGGGTACATGGTCAAGTGATCTTCATTAAGGGTGCTAAGACGACTCAGTGGTGAAAAGACAGTCTCTGAATGTCATAGGAAAAAGTGGATATCCACTTGCAAAAGAATGAAGTTGGACTCTGAACATATAAAAATTAACTTAAAATGCATTAAAGACCTGAATATAAGACCCAAATCTATAAAATTCATTGAAGAAAGCATGGGGCAAAGCTTCATGACATTGGATTTGGCAATTGATTTCTTGAATATTACACCATAAACACAGGCAGCAAAAACAAAAATAGACAAATAATACTGCATCAAACTTCAGAACTTCTGTGCATCAACAGAGTGAGCAATAAAAATAGAAAATACCAAATAGAGTGAAAAGGCAGCTTATGGGATGGGAGAAAATAGTTATAAATCATATATCTGATGAGGGTTAATATCCAGAATATATAAAGAACTCCAGCTCCCTCTCCCTCTCCCTCTCCCTCTCATGCGGAGCCGAAGCTGGACTGTACTGCTGCCATCTCGGCTCACTGCAACCTCCCTGCCTGATTCTCCTGCCTCAGCCTGCCGAGTGCCTGCGATTGCAGGCACGCGCCACCACGCCTGACTGGTTTTGGTGGAGACGGGGTTTCGCTGTGTTGGCCGGGCCGGTCTCCAGCCCCTAACCGCGAGTGATCTGCCAACCTCGGCCTCCCGAGGTGCCGGGATTGCAGATGGAGTCTCGTTCACTCAGTGCTCAATGGTGCCCAGGCTGGAGTGCAGTGGCGTGATCTCGGCTCACTACAACCTACACCTCCCAGCCGCCTGCCTTGGCCTCCCAAAGTGCCGAGATTGCAGCCTCTGCCCGGCCGCCACCCCGTCTGGGAAGTGAGGAGTGTCTCTGCCTGGCCGCCCATCGTCTGGGATGTGAGGAGCCCCTCTGCCTGGCTGCCCAGTCTGGAAAGTGAGGAGCGTCTCCGCCCGGCCGCCATCCCATCTAGGAAGTGAGGAGCGCCTCTTCCCAGCCGCCATCCATCTAGGAAGTGAGGAGCGTCTCTGCCCGGCTGCCCATTGTCTGAGATGTGGGGAGCGCCTCTGCCCCGCCGCCCCATCTGGGATGTGAGGAGCGCCTCTGCCTGGCCGAGACCCCGTCTGGGAGGTGACGAGCGTCTCTGCCCGGCCGCCCCGTCTGAGAAGTGAGGAGACCCTCTGCCTGGCAACCACCCCGTCTGAGAAGTGAGGAGCCCCTCCGCCCGGCAGCTGCCCCGTCTGAGAAGTGAGGAGCCTCTCCGCCCGGCAGCCACCCCATCTGGGAAGTGAGGAGCGTCTCCGCCCGGCAGCCACCCCGTCCGGGAGGGAGGTGGGGGGTCAGCCCCGACGCCCGGCCAGCCGTGCCATCCAGGAGGGGGGGGGGGTCAGCCCCCCGCCTGGCCAGCCGTGCCGTCCGGGAGGGAGGTGGGGGGTCAGCCCCCCGCCCGGCCAGCCGCCCCGTCTGGGAGGTGAGGGGCGCCTCTGCCCGGCCGCCCCTACTGGGAAGTGAGGAGCCCCTCAGCCCGGCCAGCCACCCCGTCCGGGAGGGAGGTGGGGGGTCAGCCCCGACGCCCGGCCAGCCGTGCCATCCGGGGGGGGGGTCAGCCCCCGCCTGGCCAGCCGTGCCGTCCGGGAGGGAGGTGGGGGGGTCAGCCCCCGCCCGGCCAGCCGCCCCGTCTGGGAGGTGAGGGGCGCCTCTGCCCGGCCGCCCCTACTGGGAAGTGAGGAGCCCCTCAGCCCGGCCAGCCACCCCGTCTGGGAGGGAGGTGGGGGGGTCAGCCCCCCGCCTGGCCAGCCGCCCCGTCCGGGAGGGAGGTGGGGGGGTCAGCCCTCCGCCCGGCCAACCCCCCCGTCTGGGAGGTGAGGGGCGCCTCTGCCCGGCTGCCCCTACTGGGAAGTGAGGAGCCCCTCTGCCCGGCCAGCCGCCCCGTCCGGGAGGGAGGTGGGGGGGTCAGCCCCCCGCCCGGCCAGCCGCCCCGTCCGGGAGGGAGGTGAGGGGGTCAGCCCCCCACCCGGCCAGCCGCCCCGTCCGGGAGGGAGGTGGGGGCGTCAGCCCCCCGCCCGGCCAGCCGCCCCGTCCGGGAGGGAGGTGGGGGGGGTCAGCCCCCCTGCCCGGCCAGCCGCCCCGTCCGGGAGGTGAGGGGCGCTTCTGCCCGGCCGCCCCTACTGGGAAGTGAGGAGCCCCTCTGCCCGGCCAGCCGCCCCATCCGGGAGGGAGGTGGGGGGGTCAGCCCCCCGCCCGGCCAGCCGCCCCGTCCGGGAGGGAGGTTGGGGGGGGTCAGCCCCCCCGCCCGGCCAGCCGCTCCGTCCGGGAGGTGAGGGGCGCCTCTGCCCGGCCGCCCCTACTGGGAAGTGAGGAGCCCCTCTGCCCGGCCAGCCGCCCCGTCCGGGAGGGAGGTGGGGGCGTCAGCCCCCTGCCCGGCCAGCCGCCCCGTCCGGGAGGTGAGGGGCGCCTCTGCCCGGCCGCCCCTACTGGGAAGTGAGGAGCCCCTCTGCCCGGCCAGCCGCCCCGTCCGGGAGGGAGGTGGGGGGGTCAGCCCCCCGTCCGGCCAGCCGCCCCATCCGGGAGGTGAGGGGCACCTCTGCCCAGCCGCCCCTACTGGGAAGTGAGGAGCCCCTCTGCCCGACCACCACCCCGTCTGGGAGGTGTGCCCAACAGCTCATTGAGAACGGGCCAGGATGACAATGGCGGCTTTGTGGAATAGAAAGGCGGGAAAGGTGGGGAAAAGATTGAGAAATCGGATGGTTGCCGTGTCTGTGTAGAAAGAAGTAGACATGGGAGAGTTTTCATTTTGTTCTGCACTAAGAAAAATTCCTCTGCCTTGGGATCCTGTTGATCTGTGACCTTACCCCCAACCCTGTGCTCTCTGAAACATGTGCTGTGTCCACTCAGGGTTAAAAGGATTAAGGGCGGTGCAAGATGTGCTTTGTTAAACAGATGCTTGAAGGCAGCATGCTCGTTAAGAGTCATCACCAATCCCTAATCTCAAGTAATCAGGGACACAAACACTGCGGAGGCCGCAGGGTCCTCTGCCTAGGAAAACCAGAGACCTTTGTTCACTTGTTTATCTGCTGACCTTCCCTCCACTGTTGTCCCATGACCCTGCCAAATCCCCCTCTGTGAGAAACACCCAAGAATTATCAATAAAAAAATAAATTAAAAAAAAAAAATAATAAAGAACTCCAGCAACTCAACAACAAATGAATAACCCAATTTAAAAATGGGCAGAGGACTTATATAGACATTTCTCCAAAGATGATATGGAAATGGCCAACAAACTTCTGAAAAGATACTCAATATAACTAGTTATTAGAGGTATGCAAATCAAAACCACAATGCAATGTCACCTCATACCAATTAGAATGGCCACTATTTTTTAAAAAAACAAAAAATAAGTGTGGGCAAGAATTTGGAGAAATTAGAACCTTTGTGCACTCTTGGGATTGTAAAGTGGTGCAACTGCTATGGAAAACAGTGAGGGAGTGTGAAATGGGAAGTTGTTCAATGGATATAGAGTTTCAGTTTTGCAAGATTAAAAGTTCTGGGGCTCTTTTACAGGACTGTGAATATACTTAACACTACTGAACTGTACACTTAAAAATGTTTACTTTAGTAAATTTAATGATAATGTGGTTTTTGTAACAATTGTTTTTTTGAGACAGAGTCTTGCTCTGTTGCCCAGGCTGGAGTGCAGTGGTGTGATCTCAGCTCACTTCAAGCTCTGCCTCCTGGGTTCACACCATGCTCCTGCCTCAGCCTCCCGAGTAGCTGGGACTACAGGCGCCCGCCACCACGCCCGGCTAATTTTTTGTATTTTTAGTAGAGACGGGGTTTCACTGTGTTAGCCAGGATGGTCGTGATCTCCTGACCTCATGATCCACCTGCCTCGGCCTCCCAAAGTGCTGGGATTACAGGTTGTAAGCCACCACGCCTGGCCTTTATCACAATTTTTAAACTTTTGTTAAAAGAAAACAGACAATAATAAACATTGCCAAGAATGTGGAGAACATAAGTCTCATAAATTGCTGATGAGAATATAAATAGTACAGGCACTCTGGAAAATGGTTTGACAGTTTCTTTAAAAGTTGAACATAAATTTATTTGCCCTATCTATTCCAATTCTAGATATAGACCCAACAAAAATGAAAACCTGTCAGCCAAAGACATACATTCAAATGTTCAAAGCAGTGTTATACATAATAGCCAAAATGTGGAAATAACCCAAATGTCCATCAGCTGGTGAATGGATGAACAAAATGAAATACTATTTAGTAATTAAAAGCAATGAGCTGGGCCAAGATGGCAGTGCAGGTGGTGCAGGCGGTGCAGGCAGTTCATCTAGAGTCTGACACTTTCCTTGTTTGTCTCAACCATGCTCTGAGCACAGAGAAGGAGGAAGTGATGGGGCTGTGGATAGGGGAGTTGAACAATGATACAAGGAGTGACTCCAAATTTGCATATACTGGAACTGAAATGCGCACAGTTGCTGAAAAGGTTGATGCCATCAGAATTGTTCACATTCGTTCTGTCATCATCTTAACGACGTTCTGATAAGAGGAAGGACCAAGTAGAAATTTCACCAGGGCAGCTGTCTGCAGCTTCAACAGAGGCAGAGAAGTTGGCTGAACTGACAGGCCACCCCATGAGAGTTGTGGGCTGGTATCATTCCCATCCTCATATAACTGTTTGGCCTTCACATGTTGATGTTCGCACCCAAGCCATGTACCAGATGATGGATCAAGGCTTTGTAGGACTTATTTTTTCCTGTTTCATAGAAGATAAGAACACAAGGGCTGGCCGGGTACTCTACACTTGCTTCCAATCCATACAGGCCCAAAAGAGTTCAGAGTCCCTTCATGGTCCACAAGACTTCTGGAGCTCCAGCCAGCACATCTCCATTGAGGGCCAGAAGGAAGAGGAAAGGTATGAGAGAATCGAAATCCCAATCCATATTGTACCTCATGTCACTATCGGGAAAGCGTGCCTTGAATCAGCAGTAGAGCTGCCCAAGATCCTGTGCCAGGAGGAGCAGGATGCATATTGGAGGATCCACAGCCTTACACATCTGGACTCATAACCAAGATCCATAATGGCTCAGTGTTTACCAAGAATCTGTGCAGTCAGATGTCAGCAGTCAGCGGGCCTCTTCTACAGTGGTTGGAGGACAGACTGGAGCAAAACCAATAGCATTTGCAGGAATTGCAACAAGAAAAGGAAGAGCTTATGCAAGAACTTTCTTCTCTGGAATAAAGCAGGAGACAAAATGGAGAAAGATGAAAATATCCAGTGTAAAGTTACTTAAGCTAAATCAATTTTGAAGAAGAAAAACTTGGAGGACTCACATTACCTGACTTCAAGACTTACTATAAAGCTGTAGTAATCAAGATAGATGGTATTGGCAGAGGAACAGACACATAGATCAATGGAACAGATGAGAGAACCCAGAAATAAACCCATATAAATATGCTCAACTGATTTTGAAAAAGTGCAAAAGCAATTCAATGGAGGAAGAATAGCCTTTCTGACAAATTATGCTGGAGCAATTAGACACCCATAGCAAGGAGAAAAAAGAACCTCTACTTAAACCTCACATCTTATATAAAATTTAATTCAAAATGTATAATGGACTTAAATGCAATACATAAAACTATACAACTTTGAAAAAAGCCACAGGAGAAAAATCTTCAGGATCTTGGGCTAGGTGACAAGTTCTTGGACTTTGCCCCAAAAGCATATCCGTAAAAGATAAAAACTGGTATATTGGACTTCTTCAAAATTTAAAAACTTGTGATTTAAGAAGAGGAAAAGATAAACTACAGATTGAAATGAATTTGCAAACCATATATCTGATCAATTTGGAATATTTAAAGTGTGCTAAAAACTCAACTGAAGTCAGGCATGGTAGCTCATGCTTGTAATCTCACCACTTTGGGAGGCCAAGATGGGAGGAGTGCTTGAGGTTAGGGGTTCCAGACCAGCCTGGCAACATAGTGAGACTCTGTCTCTACAAAAAAATTTTTTTAAAAAATTAGCTGGGCACCATGACACACACCAGTAGTCCCAGCTACTAGGGAGGCAGGAGGATCACTTGAGCCCAGGAGTTTGAGGCTGCGGTGAGCTATGATCACACCACCACACTCCAACCTGTGTAACAGAGTGAGGCCTTGTCTCAAAAAAAAGGCCACAAAAACTCAACAATAAAAACAAACAGTCCAATTAGAAAATGGGCAAAAGACGTGAATAGATGGTTCACTGAAGAGGATCTATAGATGGCAAGTAAGCATATGAAAAGCTGTTAAACTCCATAAGTCATCAGGGAATGCAAATTGAAACCACAGTGAGGCTATGACTTACTTATCTGAATGGCTAAAGAAAAAATAGTAAAAATACCAAATACTAATGAGGATACAAACTGGATATTTTATACATTGCTGACAGGAATGTAAAATGGTACAGCCCCTCTGGAAAAGAGTTTATAAATTTCTTATCGAGTTAAGCATAATTTTTTAATCAAGTTAAACATAAGACCCAGCAGTTGTGCTCCTGGACATTCATTCCAGAGAAATGAAAACCTATATTGTACTTGTACCCAAATATTCATAGGAGCTTTATTTGTAATAGCCCCAAACTGGAAACAACCCAGATGTCCTACAACAGGTACGTGGTTAAACAAACCATCCATAACTTGGAATACTGCTCTGGAATGAAAAGGAACTAACTGTTGGTTACAAGAACTTGGTTGTACCTCAGGGGTATTATGGTGAACAAAAAAAGCCAGTCTCAAATGGTCACATAATGTATGATTGCATTTATATAACATTCTTGAGGTGACAAAATTATTGAAATGAAGAACAGATTAATGGTTGCCAGGGATAGGGACTGGAGGAGGTGTGGGGTATGTATGACTATAAAGGGATGACGCAAGGAGTTCCTTTGTGCTGATGGAACAGTTCTATATGATTATGATGATTATGATGTTGATTATAACATTTGATTATGAGGTTAAGCACATGAGTCTTTACCTGTGCTGAAGTTGTATGGACCTACATACACACAAATGAATGCATGTAAAATCTGGTGATAATGAATAAAGTCTGTAGTCTAGATAGCAAAAAATAAAAATAAAAAATAAAAAAGCAATGAGCTATTGATGCATACCATTAATATGGGCAGACGTTAAAAAAAATAAGCTAAGTGAAAGAAACCACACACAAAACATTACATATTATATGATTCTATTTCTAAGAAATGTTTAGAAAAGGCAGATCTAGAGAGACAGAAAGCAGATGAGTGGTTGCCTTGGCCTAATGATTGGAAAGGGAACTGTAAGTGCCCATGAGGGATCTTGTGGGGTAATGGAAATGTTCTAAAAAGTAGATTATGGTAATGTTTGCACAACTCAGTAGGTTTACTACAAATCATTGAATTGTACTTTTAAAATGGCTGAATTTTATGGTATGCTAATAAAGTTGTTTTATTTATTTATTTTTGAGACAGGGTCTCTTGCTCTGTCACCCAGGCTGGAGTGCAGTGGCATGATCATAGCTCATTGCAGCCATGACCTCTTGAACTCAAGTGATCCTCCTGCCTCAGCCTCCTAAGTAGCTAGGACTACAGGCACATGCTATCACGCCTGGATAATTTTTTTATTTTTATTTTTGTAGAGATGGGGGTCTCACTATGTTTCCGGGGCTGGTCTTGTTTCCTGGCCTCAAATGATCCTCCCACCTCAGCCTCCCAGAGTTCTGAGATCACAGGCATGAATGACTATGCCCAGCCCACATTATTTAAAAAAAAAAAGAGAGAAAGAATTATTTGGGGAAAATAGGTATTCTCAAGATTCAGCACTATTCTTGAGTTGAAAGAGATATAATTACAGGTAGTTAAAGGAGGGGAGAAAAAAACAAAACTCTAGAAAAACAAAAAAACTTCACAAGAAAGGAATGATTTTCTTAGTATACTATATGGATTTACTAAAAGTAGTTAGTAAACGTATTAGTAAATACTTTTAACAGAATCCTGACACTGTAAACACTATGTAGTTATAACATTTAGAATCAATTTATATACAAAGCATAGGAGACAATTTTATTAGCCTTGACGATGTAAAACGGAAAGTATAGAAGATAAAGTTTGGGAGATGAAAAGGGACAGGACCTCTGAAAATAGCAGGGCTGGTGTAACATCCTTATCTTCCAAAATGGGGAGTCAAGAGATACTGTCTATAGATGATGGAAATACACTTCTTTTAGGAAGAGAAGAGGTGGGGGATTGGCCTAAGTAAATTCTTATCTAGCATAGCAGAAAGCAATAGATAATGTCTACAGTTGATAAATCAAGAAATCATAATAAAAGCCTATTTCTTTAGAGATGTTTATGGTGACTTCTAGAAGAATGAGTTAAAAATTATTCTAGGATACTGGAGAACACAAGTAGTGGTGGAGAGTGGAGTCAGTAGAAGACTTTCTTTTTATCAAAAATCTAGCACAAGGCCAGGCGCAGCGGCTCACGCCTATAATCCCAACACTTTGGGAGACCGATGCAGGTGGATCACCTGAGGTCAGGTGTTCAAGACCAGCCTCACCATTATGGTGCAACCCTGTCTCTACTAAAAATACAAAAATTAGCCAGGCCTGGTGGCAGGCACCTATAATCCCAGCTACTTGGGAGGCTGAGGCTGGAGAATTGCTTGAGCCTGGGAGGCAGAGGTTACAGTGAGCCAAGATCGCGCCACTGCATTCCAGCCTGGGTGACAGACCAAAGACTCCATCTCAAAAAAAAAAAAAAAAAAAAAAAATCTAGCACAGGTACATGATTTTTTAAAAAAGCATTTGCATCAGTTATCAAGGATTAGAGAAAAATAAACACCTTTGGAAGACAAAGATATTGTCACCTCCTCCCAAAAAAGAAAGAAATGATATGTATTCAGAATGGTCACTTAGTTTCCTACTGACTGAATCATATCCTGGTCCATTAGTTTATGTTCTGAGAAAATATACCTATTCTCTGGAGTTCGGAGGTTTCCACATAGTCCAGAAATAGTTTGGTACCTTCTGGTTCTTTAAAGTTTGAAGCCTAAGCTCCCAGCACTTGTCTGGTAGTAAAGGGAAACCAACAAATTGTGCATGCTTGCCTACTATGTGACAGGTACTTAACACTGTCTTTGGTAAGGTTAGAATTATCCCCGTGTAAACTAGAAGGACAGTAAGTCCTAGAGGGCTTAAATAAAGGACAGAGCTAGGTCTAAAACAAACAGCAACAAAAACTGAATGCTGCGTGCCTCCAAAGCCCATGCTCTTTAACTGTTTGTCAGTTAGGATCATTTCACCTGTAACAGAATACCCAACTCAGGCTTGGCCCAACAGTCAAGTTGAGCCAAGCCAACAGACTTGGCTCAATCAGCTCGCATGACTGGAAGTTCATCAGTAGAGTGGACATCATGGCGGTTTGATCTAGCAGCACAGGAGTCATTAAAGAACCAGTTTCTCTTTCTCTGTTTTGCCATCTGTAGTTTTGGGTATATCCTGAGGTTGATAGGTTCAGTGAGAGGGAGAGATTGACTTCCCATGGCTGCCTCTTAAATCAAATGATCTACAATCCTAGAGATTCCAGTAGATATCTGATTGCAGCTTAGGTGTTAGAAAATTATAATTATCTGCAGATGCCTAGATCCTTTGAACAAGTAATAATACTTAAAAAATGGTTTCTGAAACCTTATAAGGTATGATTTTTTTCAGCAGTCACCCTATTTGTCCTCTCTCATAATGACCCAGACTACCTGCCCTCTCCTAGGAGCCTCTCTTTTAAGCACAGGCATACTTGTTGATGCATGGCCTTCTCTTGGGCTTAGTATTTATGAGAGCCCAATGTTGACTGTCATCCAAGAGACTGAGAAGAAAGACTGACTTCTCATTCTTTTTCCCACAGGGACAAACTCTGCCTGGGCGAGTCCTTTTCCTGCGTTATGTCGTTCAGACCCTAGAAGATGACTTTCAGCAGACCCTGAGGAGGCAACGGCAGCACCTGCAGCAATCCATTGCAAACATGGTGCTTTCCTGTGACAAGCAGCCCCACAATGTCAGGTAAGCAGCCACCTGAGCCCTCGGATGAGAAGAGGTAAGGGATTATAGGTGGGCAGCTGCTGAAGGCCAGAATATCAGCCAGGTGAGGTTTTCTAGTCAGTAGATAGTGTAATAGGGCTAATTTTTAAAACTATAGATAGACCAGGTGCAGTGATTCACACCTGTAATCCCAGTACTTTGGGAGGCCGAGGTGGGCGGATCATTTGAGGTCAGGAGTTCGAAACCAGCCTGGCCAACATGGCAAAACCACATCTCTACTAAAAATATACAAATTAGCAGGGCGTGGTGGCGTATGCCTGTAATTCCAGCTACTTGGGAGGCTGAGGTGGGAGAATCACTTGAACCCAGGAGGCAGAGGTTGCAGTGAGCCGAGATTGCGCCACTGTACTCCAGCCTGGGTGACAGAGCAAGACTCCATCTCAAAAATAATTAATTAATTTTTAAAAATAAAACTATAGCTAATCATAAACCCCTCCTGATAATCATAAAAGAAACCAACAATGTGGCAGGCACCACATAGCTTGAATGAGTTTTCTGTCAAGACCAACAGACTTCCTTTGGTCTATTTCAATATTGTCCAAACAACCTTGTGAAATCTAGGGGAAAGCCTTATATAAAACTTTTCAGTTTTTATTAACCTACATTTATTCCTATCCCCCGATGAACCTCAATATAAATCTCATTTGTCACTACTAGTTTCTGGAAAGTAATATCTATAACAATAGGTCATGTAGCTGACAGTAAGGTACATTAGATAGTAAGCATGTGTTCTTTTTTGCAGAATCAGAGTCAGAGTTTCTGGAAGCATGGAACTACTATATGCTTATACCAAGCGGGGGAAAATATGATCTTTAGGGTAGGGGATTGTGGGCTTGAATTTTCCTTTTGGAACTACAGATGGCCCTGACTCATGATGGTTTGGCTTAGGATTTTTTGACTTTACATTGGTACAGAACTGATAACCATTCAGTAGAAACTATACCTCAAGTACCCAACAAACATTCTGTTTTTCATTTTCAGTATAGTATTCAATAAATTAGATAAACTGTTCAACACTTTATTATAAAATAGGCTTTTGTGTTGCATGATTTTGCCCAACTGTAAGCTGTCAGTGTTCTGAGCACATTTAAGGTAGACTAGGCTAAGCTACAATGTTCGGTAGATTGGGTGCATTAAATGTGTTTTCAACTTAAAATATTTTCAACTTACAGTGGTGTCTTAGTCCCTTTGTTTTGCCATAAAGGAATGCCTGAGGGTGGGTAATTTATAAAGAAAAGAGGTTTATTGGCTTACAATTCTACAAGTTGTACAAGAAGCGTGGCTCCAGCATCTGTTTCTGGTGAGGGCATCAGGAAGCTTCTACTCATGACAGAAGGTGAAGGAGAGCTGGAGTATCACCTGGCAAGGGAGGAAGGAAGACAGGGGGCGGGGCTATGGTGCCAACCTCTGTCAAACAGTCGGCTCTCGAGTGAACTAATAGAGTGAGAACTCACTCGTTACCATGAGGACAGCACCAAGACAGTTATGAAGGATCTGCCTCCATGACCCAAACATCTTCCACTAAGCCCATCTCCAACACTGGAGATCACACCAACAGGAGATTTGGAGAGGTCAAATATCAAAGCTGTATCAGATGGGTTTATCCAGATGTAACCCCATCATAGGTTGAGCATCCGAACATCCCTTGCTTTTTTGGAAATGGCTCTTACTAGAAGGGTGTACCAGCGTCTCTTTGTTCAGAGCAGCATTGAAACTCTTCCACATTTACGCTCTCATATGTTCTGACATATTTGTTGAAAGTAGTATACACAGGTCAACATGGGGCAATGACTACGATAAATCCTCTAATAACAAGGAGGACGTTTCGTTATGTTTTGGGCATTGTTCAGTTTTCCCACCCCCTTAGTTTACATGCCCATATTTATTTCCCTATATGTGATATTTTTTCTAAAGATTAAATGTTAATAATTTTAGGGGTACAAAATCAGTAAGTAGAGAATCAACAGAGAGCACAAGACAGCATAGTTGAATTTTAAAGCAAAAAATTGGCCGGGTACAGTGGCTCACACCTGTAATCCCAGTACTTTGGGAGGCCAAGGCGGGCAGATCACCTGAGCCCAGGAGTTCAAGACCAGCCTGGCCAACACGGTGAAACCCTATCTCTACTAAAAATACAAAAATTAGCCAGGCATGGTGGCATGTGCCTGTAATCCCAGCTACTTGGGAGACCGAGACAGGAGAATTGCTTGAACCTGAGTGGCAGAGGTTGCAGTAAGCCGAGATCACACCACTGCACTTCAGCCTGGGTGACAGAGCGAGACTCTGTCTCAAAAGCAAATAAAAATAAATTTTAAAAAGTGAAAAATAATTTACATAATGAGAACAATTCCATCTACCATTATGCTTTGCGAGCCTAGGCATTAAGAGTGAGTGGGATACCCAAGGCACTGTTCTCTCAGTTGCTTTCATTTTCACCTCCTGTGGTGTGAGCCTCTCACTGTACGGGGTATGACTCTTGGGTTTAAAGATAGGCATTTAAGGCTGGGCGTGGTGGCTCACACCTGTAATCCTAACACTTTGGGAGGCCAAGGTGGGCAGATCACTTGAGGTCAGGAGTTCGACATGAGCCTAGCCAACATGGTGAAACCCCATCTCTACTAAAAAATACAAAAAAAAAAAAAAAAACCCAAAAAATTTGCCAGGCATAGTGCCAGGCACCTGTAATCCCAGCTACTTGAGAGGCTGAGGCAGGAGAATTGCTTGAACCCAGGAGGTAGAGGTTGCAGTGAGCTGAGATCGCGCCATTGCACTCCAGCCTGGGCAACAAGAGGGAAACTCTGTCTCAAAAATAAATAAAGGCATTTTGGGCTGCACATGGTGGCTGAGGCCTGTAATCCCAGCACTTTGGGAGGCCAAGGTGGGCGGATCACATGAGGCCAGGAGTTTGAGACCAGCCTGGCCTCAAAACCCCACCTCTACTAAAAGTACAAAAACAGCCAGGCATGGTGGTGCACTTCTGTAATCCCAGCTACTTGGGAGACTGAGGCATGAGAATCATTTGAACCTGGGAGGCAGAGGTTGCAGTGAGCCAGGATTGCACCACTGCAATTCAGCCTGGGCAACAGAGGAAGACTCTATCTCAAAAACAACAACAACAAAGATAGGCATTTTTGAGGGGTGTTTGTGACCTCTAAATCTAGGCCAGGTCCTCTGTTTTGTGCTTACTCAATGAAAAAAATCATTTGTTTCAGTTGGCAGGAAAATGAGCTATCTTTGATTCATTAAGAAATGGATATTAGACTGAGTTGGTGATTACAAGGATGTATGCATATATTTATCTAAATTCATCAAACAAAACTTTGACAATTTATTGTATGTAAATTATACCTCAAAGAGGTATTTTTAAAAAGAGAGAGACATGATCATTCTCCATATGAACCCTTCTTAAGGGATTTTCTTTTCTTTCTTTCATTTTGAACTATGCATACAAAGAGTAGACTAGTTTCTACAAGACTTCAGAAATATACTTGTCTCCAGGTTCCCTCACCTGCATTCCTGTTTCTCTTTAATTGATTTTTTAAATATTTACCCCCATATGGCAAAATATACCCCCATATGGCAAAATAACATGCTTGCAGTGCTGCTTCTTGATTTTTCATTGTTAGCCATTATCTGTTGACTTCTCACATGAAAAATAAGGAGTTCGCTCTTTTTCCTCCCCACATTCCCCATCACACACATATTTGCCAGCCTCTATATCATTAATATATTATAATTTTTATATCAGTGTTCAGTGTTTCTATTACTATGACTATGTGTGCTAGTCAGAATTTTACTAAGTACTAAACCGTGATTGCTTTTCCTTTCATTCATATCTTTTTGTTTTCCCTAAGGTTAATAATTATCCTATTTTTAAGTTTCTTGCTTTCCTTGTATGTATCAGAATTCAACCCCAAATTCTCTCCTAGTTGTGTTACCGGTGGAGGGTGTCTAGGTTCTTGGCATCTTGAACAAAGAACTGGACAAAATGTACAAACAAAGCAAGGAAAAATGAAGCAACAAAAGCAGAGATTTGTTGAAAATGAAAGCACACTCCACAGGGTAGGAGCAGGCCCGAGCAAGCAACTCAAGAGCCTGGTTACAGAATTTTCTGGGGTTTAAATACCTTCTAGAGGTTTCCCATTGTACTTGATGTACAACCTATGTAAATGAAGTAGTGGCCCACCATCAGTTCGATTAGTTGTGGGAGGGGACAAATCAGAGGCTGAAGTGAAGTTACAAAGTTATACTCCTATGCAAATGAAGACTTGGCCCATGACCAGCCTGATTGGTTGTGGGAGGGGACCAGTCAGAGGTACTTTCAATTTTTCATCTGCCACGCAGAAAAAGCAGGGAGGCGGGCAAGGTTGCAAAGGGAGAAGCCTCTGGTCCTTTTGTTACTTGGGCATGGAAAATTGGGGTTTTCCTTTTGATTTAGTTCTAGGAATTCAACATGAATTGGCCTTAGGTTCCCTGCCTCCAGACCCTATTTTCTTGCCTCAGTTGGTCTCAATATCCCCTCAAGATATTTATTCACACTGGATTGTCCTACTAGTTTCTTCTCAAAAATCTGAGGTAGAATGTTTTGATCTCCTTCAATCTAGATCACTCGTCCTCTTTTCCAGTCTTCATCATAAATTTGAGAGTCCTCTTTAATGCTTTTCAAGACTGGATGACTTGTTTGTTTGTCCTGTCTTTTCTCTTTCATGGCTCATACCTTCATTTAAGGAATCCATTCCTAGTAGCTTTCTAAGAAAGGTGTATAGGAAGTAAAGTTTTTGAGATCTTGTTTGTCTGCGAATGTCTTTATCTTCTCATACATTGATTGATAATTAGACTGAGGATAGATGATTTGCTTAGAAATAACTTTTCTACAGAACATCAGAGGAAATCTTTCATTGTCTTCTAGCTTCCAGAATTGCTGTTAAGAAATGGTAAGTAGTCGGGCGTGGTGGCTCACGCCTGTAGTCCCAGCACTTTGGGAGGCCGAGGTGGGTGGATCACTTTGAGCTCAGGTGTTCAAGACCAGCCTGGGCAACATGGCAAAACCCCATCTCTACCAAAACCACAAAAAATTAGCTGGGCTTAGTGGCACACACCTGTGGTCCCAGCTACTCGGAAGGCTGAGATAGGAGGATCACTTGAGCCTGGGTGGCAGAGGTTGCACTGAGCTGAGATCGTGCCACTGCACTCCAGCCTGGGTGTCAGAGCAAGACCCTGTCTCAGGGGGAAAAAAAGAAGTCATAAGCTATTTTGATTACTGATTCTTTGTATGTGCCCTGGTTTTTCCCTGTGGAAGTTTGTAAAGTTCTCTTTTTGCCAAATGTGCTTATCCTAGGTTTATATTCATCCATTGGGTTGGGCATTCAGTGGGCCATTTCAGTCTGGAAAAATGTCCTTCATTTCTAATAAACAGGATTTTTCACTTTTGTAATTATCTTTCTAATTTCCAAGAGCCCTTTTATTTTTTCTCTGTGTCTTCCTTATTAAAATTAATAAATAAGCCAGGCATGGCGGCATGTGCCTGTAGTCCCAGCTACTGGAGAGGCTGAGGCAGGAGGATCGCTTGAGCTCAGGAGTTCAGTGAGCTGTGATGGCACCACTGCACTCCAGCCTGGACAACGGAGCAAGCCCTCATCTCTAAAAAATAATAATAATAGGCTGGGCACAGTGGCTCAGGCCTGTAATCCTAGCACTTTCAGGGGCCAAAGTGGAAAGATGACTTGAGGCCAGGAGTTCAAGACCAACCTGGGCAACATAGCAAGACCCTGACTCTGCAAAAGAAAATAATATAAACTGTATTCTTATTTTCTTCTTTCCTGGATCCATGTCATCTCGTATCTTTGATTTTGCTAATCAGAATTTTCATTTTTGTTTATTCTCTGTTTCTCTTCTACATAATGTCTGTTTTCTCCAAGTTGCTTTTTTGGGAGGAAGGAGAGGGTATTTTGGTCTCTATCTCTTTATGTTAAAAGCTTTCCATAGATGTCTGGTAAACCTTGGTAGTTTATAGTCTATCCATATTTAAAGGTGCGAGACTCAAAAGATAATGGAAGCTCTGAAGACAATAAGAGGACTTGTCATTTCTGCACTTCCCTCTAGGTGGAACTGATTTCTCATTTCTAAGAAAATTTCTTGAGTCAAGGTCTTTCCTCTTGCGCTGGTTCGGTTTTACAGAGAGGACATCCAACCTCTTACATGAAGGATAAAGACAGGATGCCAAGGTTTTGGAAGACACGTGTGAGAAGATAGCAAGGGTCTCTGCATTCAGCATGCCTATGTTCATTTAGTGCCCCATTTGCTTCAGTGTCTGCTTCTAAGCCGTGCCTGGTATCCCAGTCCAGAGACCATCTGTTTTACCTCTCCACAAAGTTAACTTGTAGTCTGCAGGATTGGGGAAGTTCTAGAGGTCTAAAAATTTATTAAACAGCTTTCAAGCCATCCTATTTTATTTATTTATTTATTTATTTATTTATTTATTTATTTATTTATTTATTTTGAGGCGGAGTCTCACTCTGGTTGCCCAAGGCTGGAGTGCAGCAACCCGATCACAGCTCACTGCAGCTTTGACCTCCCTGGGGTCAGGTGATCCTCCCACCTCAGCCTCTTGGGTAGCTGGGACTACTGGCACGTGCCACCACGCCCTGCTAATTTTTAGTATTTTTAGTAGAAACAGGTTTTCACCATTTTGCCCAGGCTGGTCTCAAACTCTTGGACTCAAGCCATTTGCCCACTGCAGCTTCCCAAAGTGCTGGGATTACAAAGTGAGCCACCATGCCTGGCCGCCACCTACATATTTCAATTTACCCCTCTTTCAACACTTCAGAGAAACCTGGTGCTACCGCTTGCAGAGCTATTGAAGTTTTTTTTTTTTAAGTAAATAGGATTAAATAGGATAGCTCTTCTCTGCTGCTGGCTTAGGATTCAGCTTTCTCAATTCCACTAAGTCAATTAAAATGTATTCCTTTGCCTAATTCATAGGCTTGGATTAAACGTCATCTTAAAACATGGCACAGTGGCTTTATTTGCTCAGTTAATTGGTTGCTTTTAATTTTGTAATCAGCATCTCTCAACCTACTCCCAAATCAAAGACTAAGCCCTTGACAATTACCTCACCCCTCATCCATCAGCCTGAGCAACATAGCCAGAACCCATCTCTACACCCCTCATCACCCACCTTGCACCCAGGTGATCATCATTCTGCATGGTCATCATTTCATTTCTTTCCTTTCTATGTAGTTGTATTGCATATACATGTATTCCTATAAAATATATTTTTTTACTTTAGTTCCTTTAGCTCTATATTAAAAGGTATCATGCTATATGTAATCTATTGAGAATTTTATTTTTCACTTACTGTTTTATAGTACCAAGATTTGTCCATATTGTTGCCTGTCACTGTAGTTTATTTATATTGATAGTCATATTCATACTCATATCCTTCATTTGCCTTCCACCTTTCAAAATTTCACTGCTATCACCTGGGAGGCGGAGCTTGCAGTGAGCCGAGATCGCACCACTGCACTCCAGCCTGGCGACAGAGCGAGACTCTGCCTAAAAAAAAAAAAAAACTCACTGCTATTCATCTTCTCTCCTCTTCTCTTCTTCCTTGTGGATATTTTTCAAAAGTTATTTATTATAATATTAGTGGGGTTTTAGGAGGAAACAAAATTCGGTGTGTATATTAAATCTACTATTTTTACCTAGGTTACCTAAGTGATCATTAAAAGTAGTTTTGACTGTATGTTTTTACCTTATTAACTTGTAGAGCCTCAGCCCTGTATAAAGTGTGATTCCACTGCACACACTCTAAACCTTAGTTGTTAACATTAATAGGTGACAATAATATAGAGCTGGCAAGGACTTCTGTGGTCACCCAGTCTAACTTTCCACTTGGTTTAGGAATGTTCCTGGTCAGGAAGGCACAGATAGTACTATTTTACCCTGAAGTTACCTTTGAATACTTACAATTCAAAGAAAAATGTTGATATTTTAGTTAGCTTTTTTTTTTTTTTTTTTTTTGTAGAGTTGGGTTCTTGCTGTGTTGCTCAGGCTGGTCTCAAACTCCTGGTCTCAAAAGATCCTCCCACCTCAGCCTCCCAAAGTGCTGGGATTACAAGCATCAGCCACCATACCTGGCCTTTAGTTGACTTTTACAGCCTTACTGCAGTTAAATGTGATGTTTTTATTAGACTTGTTTAATTATTGAAAATAGCCAGAGGGCCCTTTTGTTGCCTGTAGGGAAATCCAGGGATCTGGGGGCCCAGGTTAAGGCTATAGTTCTGAGCACCATAAATACAACAGACATGGAAACCTTTTCTTTCTTTATTTTTTTTTTCTGCACAGAAAAAGAAAGAATAAACCTTTTCTTTCTTTTTTCCATTACAGGGATGTTATCAAGTGGCTGGTCAAAGCAGTAACTGAAGATGGATTGACTCAGCCCCCAAATGGAAATCAAACGTCTTCAGGAACAGGAATCTTGAAAGCCAGCAGTAGCCACCCTTCTTCCCAGCCCAACCTGACAAAGAACACCAATCAGCTGTAAGGGGCAGGCAGTTCTCTTTCCTGGGGCTCTTGGGGTTTAGTGTTTTAGAGAGAACAACACCAATCCCTAAGAGCAGCTTCCCCCAAATTAACAAGATCTTAGAACATAGGCTGATGCTTATTCAAGACTTAGTTTAACTAGAGGCTAAATTTCTGATTTCAAAGGCAGAACAAAACCAGGTGCTTTCACCCCTAAAATGAATAGGACTTCACAAAGTGAATACGAAGTCACAACGCAGATGCAAAACAAATGCTAGAGGACACTGCCCTTCACTTCCTGCATTTCAGGAGACAGTAAAGGGTTACAGCTCCTCATCACTTCAGATATCTGTTGCCATAGAGAAGGAGTGGTGTGTAGTGTGAGTTTTGTTAACCTCGAGTCCTCAAGGACCTGGGTTTCTCTCCTCAGGTCCCGGGAGAAAAATAGCATTCAGCCTGCAGGTTCCAACACACCAGGGCAGGTATCATCACCGCAGACTGCACTGGAAAGAAATTCATGGCATTTCTTTTATGGAGTTGAGAGTGGTCTTGGCGTTTTTTGAGAGATGCCGGGAGATTAGGGGCTGGGGCTACCCTTGCACAAATAACCCAGTATTCCATGTCAATCATATTGTGAAAAGCCAGTCACACTGGGCATTTCAAATGTAACATTTGTGTCTGAATTCACAATGTTATAATCTGGTTGCACCAACCTGATTTTTATGGAAGACCTACAAGTTTAAATTGTTTCCTAAATTGTAAATAATTATAACTAATTTAGGAAACAATTTTATATCTAAAGGGGAATGTTTTGGAACAATGAAGCATTTGGACAGATTGAGGAAGGCCCTAAAGTAGCATTCTCCCACACGGGCCACATACAGACCCAAGAGGGAGGTGGACACTGTTCCTTCAATGGAAGCTAGTATCATATAACAATCATCATAATAAATGTTTATAAATACATGTTAGTAGAAATAACAATAGGGTCCCCTAAAAGTCAATTTTGTTATGATCTTAACAACAATAGTAGGTTGCTACCACTTATCACTAGAGAGTCCCTGTGAGATATTTTATATAGCACTCACAACTTTACAAAATAGATATTATTGCTCACCCTTTTTATAGATGAGAACACTTGGACTCAGGGCAGTTTAGTAACTTGTCGAAGGTTAAACAGCTTATCATTGTAGAGACAGAATCTGAGGCCAGAGCTGCTGGTCTGGCCCACCTGTTGTGTTACTAGCTGCAGATTTTCTTAAAGTAAAACCTTTCTTCCATCACAGATAACATGTGTTGCCGGGCGTGGTGGCTCACGCCTGTAATCCCAGCACTTTGGGAGGCCAAGGCGGGTGGATCATGAGGTCAGGAGATGGAGACCATCCTGGCTAACACGGTGAAACCCCGTCTCTACTAAAAAAATACAAAAAAATAGCCGGGCATGGTGGCGGGCACCTGTAGTCCCAGCTACTCAGGAGACTGAGGCAGGAGAATGGAGTGAACCTGGGAGGCGGAGCTGGCAGTGAGCCAAGATCGCGCCACAGCACTCCAGCCTGGGCGACAGAGCTAGACTCCATCTCAAAAAAAAAAAAAAAAAAAAAAAAAAACACGTGTTAGAAAAGGCTGATGTCAGGCCAGGCTCACCTTTCTGAGAGGTTGCCCCGACTCCTAATGCCACATCAGGCTGGCTCTCTCCCACAGTTAGATCTAATGGGAGAGAAGGTCAGGTTCCACCAGGGGAGGTTCTGAGACCGAACTTAGTAAGAAGCTATTGTAAAGGAAACAGTAACAGGAGAAAACTGTATGGCAAATACATATTTTCTCCTGTATCAAAGAAATTTAAATCATTTTAAGTCACTCTGGACCTGTTTCTTCATCTGCAAAACAGGGAAGTTATAGATTAGATGATCCTTATAGTTCCCTATATCCTTAAGGTTGTGTGGTTCTATTTTTGAATTTAAAAGCAGCTTGCTTTTACAGCTCAACCCCAGGTTCTGAGAGGTTCAAATAGTATGTTCTGGCAAAAGGGATTCAGGTAGGTGAAATTGCTAAATAAAAGCATGCTGATGGTTTGAGTAGTTCTCCCTGACCTTGTGTGTGCTTTATAAGATCCTTTAGTAGTCTCTACTCTCGATGTACACTGGTGGGGACCTCCTCCCAGCCAGAGAGTGGCTCCTTGCCAGACCCTCACACTCATCTGTGTCCTATGTTCTGGACTCAGGATTGTGTGCCAGCTTCAGAGGATGCTCTCCATAGCCGTAGAGGTGGACAGGACCCCCACCTGCAGCTCCAATAAAATTGCCGAGATGATGTTTGGGTTTGTGCTGGACATTCCTGAGAGGAGCCAGAGGTGAGTCTTGATTTTGTTGGGGAGAGCAGTTATTTAAAAAAAAAACAAAAAAAACTCTTGGAAATCATTTTTATTAAATTAACTTTTCTATCTATGCTACCTGTCAGGAACAGAATTTTACAAGAGAAAATTCCAAACTAATTAAGATAGGAAGAAAATAGTAGAAGGATTATTCTTATGTCTTTGACTTTTGGAAAGGAGGTTCTCAACTAATTATTATTATTTACAACTGAGATATAATTTCTTGGGAAGAGGCACAGTACCCTAAATGGAGGCTAAATTTTCTAACCTTATCAATTTGCCTAACAATTTTACTCTTCTTTCAATATTTAACTGTTAAGGGTGGGTGCAGTGACTCGTACCTGTAATCCCAGCACTTTGGGAGGACTAGGACTAGGCGAGCAGATCACCTGAGGTCAGGAGTTCAAGACCAGCCTTGGCCAACATGGTGAAACCCTGTCTCTACTAAAAATACAAAAATTAGTTGGGCGTGGTGGTGCACACCTATAATCTCAGCTACTCAGGAGGCTGAGACACGAAAATCGCTTGAACCAGGAGGTGGAGGTTGCAGTGAGCTGAGATTGCTCCACTGCACTCCAGCCTGGGTGACAGAGTGAGACTCCATCTCAAAAAAAATAAAAATAAAGGCCGGCTGTGGTGGCTCACACCTGTAATCCCAGCACTTTGGGAGACCAAGGCGGGCGGATCACGAGGTCAGGAGATCGAGACCATCCTGGCTAATGCGATGAAACCCCGTCTCTACTAAAAATACAAAAAAATTAGCCGGGTGTGGTGGTAGGCGCCTGTAGTCCCAGCTACTCAGGAGGCTGAGGCAGGAGAATGGTGTGAACCCTGGAGGCGGAGCTTGCAGTGAGCTGAGATGGCGCCACTGCACTCTAGCCTGGGTGACAGAGCGAGACTCCGTCTCAAAAAATAAATAATAAATTAATTACTTAATTAATTAAATAAATAATAAAAATAAAAATTTAACTGTTAAGCCCTGCCTTCTTCTCTTATCTTTATCCATAGGCCTGGCATAAGTGTTCACTAAAGGCTTGGTGGGTGAATGAAATAGATATATCCAATATTAGAGGAACTAGAGGTGACACAAGAATGAAAAGAGTTGGACCTATAGAATGACCCCAGATAGTAAGAATTAGGAATTCAGTTTCTCTAAACATGAATTAGTGAAGTATTTCATTAGGAAGGGATAAAGAAATGGTTTTTGGCTAAAAACAATGATTCCTTCCTTGACCCAGTAATTTTAAAATCCAGAGGAAGAAAACTAAACTAGAATGAATATGAATTCATGAACAATTGCTGGTACAGGAAATAAGTATAAGAGAGTCATTGCGTAGTGGTGACCCTTGGGGAAATTATGGTATATGTTTGTCTTCAGTGCATCTCCACCAGCTCCATGCGTGCTTCCCATCCCCATCCCTAAACTCCCAGCTGACAACCAAGACAACTATTGTGCAGCTTTGGTTTCTTCTATTACAAGAAAATGTCATGCCAAATAGTACTGGAATAGGACTTAATTAAAATACTCTGGTAAGATTGAGACATTTACTGAGTCCCTACAATGTGCCAGCCATTGTCACATTAATTATCTCATTTGTTTTCTGTTTTTTTTTTCTTTTTCTTTTTCTTTATAATTTAGAAACAGGGTCTTGCTATGTTGCCCAGGCTAGTTTTGAACTCCTGGGCTCAAGCAATCCTCCTGCCTCAGCCTCCCGAAGTTCTGGGATTACAGGCATGAGCCACCGCACCCAACCTTATTTATTTTTCTTATAATGTTATCCCTATTTATTTATTTATTTGTTTTGAGGCAGAGTCTCACTCTGTCACCCAGGCTGGAGTACAGTGGTGGGATCTCAGCTCACTGCAATCTTTGCCTCCTGGGTTCAAGTGATTCTCCTGCCTTAGCCTCCTGAGTGGCTGGGATTACAGGTGCATGCCCCTATACCCAGCTAATTTGTGTATTTTTAGTAGAGATGGGGTTTCACCATGTTAGCCAGGCTGGTCTCAAACTCCTGACCTCAGGTGATCTGCCCACCGCAGTCTCCCAAAGTGCTGGGATTACAGGCGTAAACCACCACACCTGGCAATGTTATCTCTATTTAATGAATAAGAAAAGCATTCAAAGAGGTGGAGTTAACTAGCCTAAGTTTATGTAGCTAATCAGGTTCAGAATCCAAATTTAAACCCAGGGCTGCTTAATCCCAAATTCAATATTCAAAGGAGGCAGTGTGTTGTACTGGTCAGACAGAAGAAAGTGCACATGAATACCATGCTTGCTCTAACACTTTGTCAGGAGTATTTCATTTGGGTCCAACTCCTCTACTATTCATTCATGTAAGCCCAGATGCTGGTAAGAAATGGGAAAGCTAAGGAATAGGTAACAAAAAAAAATTAGGAATTAAAACAGACAAACATGATTTATACAAAACCTGGCCCTACTTTAAAATTCTCTCAGAGGGGCAAATTGGCCACTCACCCAAATTATGCTAAAAGATACTTTACTTGGCCTTTACCTTGATTTATTTTAATTTTCTAAAGATTAAGTATAATTTACATACAATTAAATTATGTAAACTAGCTTGCATACATACCATCCAGTGAGTCTTGACAAATGCATATACCTTCTTGACCTATCATTTTCCAATTGCTCATTAGTAGTGTATAGAAACCCTGCAACCTTAATAAATTAACTTATTCTAGTAGGATTTTTGTTTGTTTTCCTTAGGATTCTCTACATACACAATCACGTTGTCTAAAAATACACTTTAACTGTATCCTTCCCAATCTGTGTATGCCTTTTGCTTGCTTTTTCTTGCCATACTGCATAGGCTAGAATCTCCAGGAAAATGTTGGAGAAGCAGTGAGAGTAGACATTATTGCCCCATTCCTGATCTTAGGGTGAAAACATTCAGTTTTTGACTATTAAGTGTGATGTTAGCTATAAATGTTTCATAGGTGCCCTTTGTCAGTTTGAGGGAGCTTCCTTCCATTTCTAGTGTATTATTTTTACGAAGAATAAGTATTGAAATTTGCCAAATATGTTGTCTCCATCTATTGAGATAATCATAGTTTTTCTTCTTTATTCTGTTGATGTGGTGTAATACACTGATTAATTTACTCACGTTAAACCAACTTTGCATTCCTGGAATAAAAACCCTACTTGGTTGTGATGTTATCCTTCTTATATATTGATGGATTCAAGTTGCTAATATTTTGTTAAGGATTTTTGCATCAATGTTTACAAGGGATATTGACCTGTAGTTTTATTTTCCTGTAATGTTTAATGTTTTCCATGTTTCCTTATGCATATTTAAAAGAAAGATAAGTTGGCCAGGCTGGTCTCGAACTCCTGACCTCAGATGATCTGCCCACCTCAGCCTCCCAAGATGCTGGGATTACAGGTGTGAGCCACCAGGCCCAGCCTTATGAACTGAATTCTAAAATAAGTTTAAAAAGCAAAATGCAAAATAATATTATATTAAATATACATATCTTTTTGTAAAAAAATGATAAAAATATACATGATTCTGATCATTTGTTTAAAAAAGAAACAAAGTTAAGGTAAGCCACAGACTAATAAAATTGCTTACATACAGAGAGTGGGTGGGAATGGGATAAAAAGGAGAAAAGGTACTGGGCTCGGTGGTAATGGTGGCAGTGGTGGTGGTGGTGGTAAACACTTCCCTGAGTATGCCTTTTTGTGTGGCTGTAAACACTTTTTAGAGTCATGTTAACCCATTTATGCCTGGGGTTCAACATTTTTTGTGTGAAAAATCAGACCTGGGCAATGACCTTGAGCAGTAGGATACAAATAACTCTCACAAGTTTAGCGTTCCAATAATGGAACACTGGGCATAAATTTAATGTTTTACATACTCAAAAAATCAAGTTCACAGGGTGCCAAAAATGGAATACAAACAGAAACAAGTTAACCTAACTGTATTTTAATAAAATAAAGGAGAGCTAGCATGGTGGCATGCACCCACAGTTCCAACTACTCAGGAGGCTCCAGTAGGAGGATCACTTGAGCACAGGCGTATGAGGCTGGCCTGGGCAACACAGCAAAATCCTGTTGGTAATTAATCAATAAAAATGGAAGGGGTGGAGGGACAGGCCCAGGTAACTTTTTTTTAACCTTTTATTTTTATTTTATTTTAAAAAATTGTAGATTCACAGGAAATTGCAAAACCTATTAGAAGTAGTGTATATCCTTTACACTGTTTTCCCCTAGATACAAGGGGAACTATAACTATAGTACAATATCACAAATAGGAAATTTACATTGGTACAATCCCAGACTTTATTCAGTTCTACCCATTCTCATGCACTCATTTGTGTGAAGCTCTTTTTAGTTCTATTACCTGTGTAGATTTTTATGACCGTCACCGCAGTCAAGATGTATAACTGTTCTGGCCGGGCGCGGGGGCTCACGCCTGTAATCCCAGCACTTTGGGAGGCCGAGACTGGCGGATCACGAGGTCAGGAGATCAAGACCATCCTGGCTAACACGGTGAAACCCCGTCTCTTCTAAAAATACAAAAAATTAGCCGGGTGCGGTGGCGGGCGCCTGTAGTCCCAGCTACTCGGGAGGCTGAGGCAGGAGAATGGCGTGAACCCGGGAGGCGGAGCTTGCAGTGAGCAGAGATAGAGATAGTGCAACTGCAGTCCAGCCTGGGCGAAAGAGTCCAGCCTGGGCGAAAGAGCGAGACTCCCTCTTTAAAAAAAAAAAAAAAAAAAAATGTATAGCTATTCCATCATCACAAGGATTCCTTGTGCTACCCTTTTATAGCTACAATCATCCATCCTCCCAGCTACTGGCAAACGCTAATCTGTTCTCTGACTGTGTCAAAGTAACTTAAAACACAATATTTGGACTAAATGTCATAATGGTAAAGACAAAATGAACTGAACTCTAGTTAGTAGGTTTCTTTTTCGCAGAGATATAGATATACAATTCAAAAACGATTTTATGTGTATTCTAGGATTAAACAAATAAATATATTGTGAATACTGAGTGCCAAGTTTCTCACTGTCAGAGAAAAGATTTACACATATGAAAAGGGGAAAGGATAGAATGAACCCTGTGGTACTGGATTGGAATTGGAGGTATCAGTATGAACTTGTGGTTTCTAATAAATATAGAGATAGGAATAGATGTAGATGTGTGAGGGCTTGTTTACATATATTATATATACACATACGTCTGTGTGTATTCATACATATGTTTCCTACCTCTGCCCACTGAGAGAGCATGGAAGCAATTATATCTTAGTAGCAGTGGAGCACACCTCATACCCAGATCTTTGTTTTTAAATTCCAGTTTACATGAAAGGGAACCAGGGCCAGGTGTGGTGGCTCACGCCTGTAATCCCAGCACTTTGGGAGGCCAAGGTGGGCAGGTCACTTGAGGTCAGGAGTTCGAGACCAGCCTGGCCAACATGGTGAAACCCTGTCTCTACTAAAAATAAAAAAATTAGCTGGGCATGGTAGCATACGCCTGTTATCTCAGCTACTTGGAAGCCTGAGGCAGGAGAATCGCTTGAAATCAGGAGGTGGAGGTTGCAGTGAGCTGAGATCGCACCACTCCACTCCAGCCTGGGCAACAGAGCAAGTCTCCATCTCAAAAAAAAAAAAAAAAGGGAACCAGAATTCCTTGAAGGAATGACTAACTCCAGAACTGTGTTAGGTAAAGTACAAGATGAGCCTGGAACATCTTGTGCCACAAAGTAAGGAAATATTCAAAGACTATTCAGAACATGTCAAAAGACACAGGAGTCAGCTTAAAGGGGCTTTCAGTGACCAAATCTGGAATAATTTGAGCTCCAAAATGAATATTGACAGTAAAATAATATTATCTGTTGAATAAAATAGGAATCTGTGATTCCAGTGCTGATAGGAAGAAAGAGACGGGACCCCCTTTCTTACAGTAAAAAGCCAACTAATGTTAGAAAAAATGATGAATTAGGCAGAAATACTGTTTGGCAACCATCATAATATTCAGACGTGAATGGATACTAACATGGTGAAAGATTGTGGAGTAACAAGATATTTGCATGGTCTCTAAGTATGTTCCCACAAGATACTTATTTATTACAAAGGGAAAAATAGCAACTTTACAATGGAGACACTACCATAGTCAAGTGATCAAAGTTCACACCAACAATGGGACAAATTGATGTCATGTGCCTTTTTATACAAGGCATTGAGAACAACAAAACACCATTTTTTCAGTACTGCCAAAAATGTATAACCTTCATCCATTCATGGGAAAAGTTCAGCCTAATGTCAAATGAGAGATGTTCCTTGAAAAAAACTGGCATGTGCTTTTCAAAAATGTCAGTATCCACTTTGGGAGGCCAAGGCGGGTGGATCACGAGGTCAGGAGATCAATACCATCCTGGCTAACACAGTGAAACCCCGTCTCTACTAAAAATACAGAAAATTAGCCAGGCATGGTGGCAGGCCCCTGTAGTCCCAGCTACTCGGGAGGCTGAGGCAGGAGAATGGCGTGAACCCAGGAGGCGGAGCTTGCAGTGAGCCGCGATCGCGCCACTGCACTCCAGCCTGGGCGACAGAGCGAGACTCTGTCTAAAAAAAAAAAAAAAAAGTCAGTATCATGAAAGACAAAGCAATGTAAAGCAATTCTCCTGCCTCAGCCTTCTGAGTAGCTGGGATTACAGGTGCCCCCACCATGCCCTGCTAATTTTTATATTTTTAGTAGGGAAAGGGTTTCACCATGTTGGCCAGGCTGGTCTCGAACTCCTGTCCTCAAGTGATCCACCCACCTTGGCCTCCCAAAGTGCTGGGATTGCAGGCATGAGCCACTGCACCCAGCCCTATGTCTGCAACTTACTCTCAGATAATTCAAAGAAAAACAGACAGACAGATGGATAAAGAAGATGTGGTAGGCCAGATGCAGTTGGCTCATGCCTGTGATCCTAGCACTTTGGGAGGCCAAGGTGGGCGAATCAGCTGAGGTCAGGAGTTCAAGACCAGCTTGGCCAGCATGGTGAAACTCCATCTCTACTAAAAATACAAAAATTAGCCAGGTGTGGTGGCGGGCGCCTGTAATCTCAGCTACTCAGGAGGCTGAGGCAGGAGAATCGCTTGAACCCAGGAGGCCGAGGCTGCAGTGAGCCAAGATTGTGCCACTGCACTCCAGCCTGGGCAACAGAGCAAGACTGTCTAAAAAAAAAAACAAACAAACACAAACTTTGCATTATTCTTGCAATTCAGTATGTCTGAAATTGTCAATACAAAAAGATAAGAAAAAAGGTTATGTTTATTGTAAACAGTATATAGTTGGCATTTGTTGTTTTAGCCAGCTGAAAATTCCTGCTCTTTAATATAAGTATTGGTTTTATACCTGTAATCTGACTATTTGTTTCCTGTTTGTTCTTTCTTCCTCTTCTGGCTTTTGGATTGATTGAAGATTTTCTATTATTCCATTTTATCTCTCCTGTTGGCTTTTAGTTCTCTTTTTTAAATTAAAATCTTTTTGTTTGTTTTTGTTTGTTTGCTTGTTTTTTGAGACAGAGTTTTGCTTTTGTTGCCTAGACTGGAGTGCAATGGCACGATCTCAGCTCACCACAACCTCCGCCTCCCGGGTTCAAGAGATTCTCCTGCCTCAGCCTCCCAAGTAGCTGGGATTACAGGCATGCGCCACCAGACCCGGCTAACTTTGCATTTTTAGTAGAGACGGGGTTTCTCCGTGTTGGTCAGGCTAGTCTCGAACTCCCGACCTCAGGTTATCCACCCGCCTCAGCCTCCCACAGTGCTGGGATTACAGACATGAGCCACCGTGCCTGGCCTTAGTTTATTTTTAGATTAAAATCTTATTTTGACATAATTGTAAATTCACATGCAATTTTAAGGAATGTTAAATATTAAATAGTATTAGATAAATATTGTATTCAATATTACATATTATTGGATAAAAATAAATATAAACTTTATTCAATATTAAAATTATTAAAGAGTTCAGAGACAACCCAGATAATCTTTTTCCAATTTCCCCCAATGGTAATATATTACAAAACTATAGTACAGTATCACAACCAGGATATTGTGATTGACATAAGCCAAGATATAGAACATTTCCATCACTTCAAGGATTGCTCTTCTTGCCTTTTTATAGCCACACCCACTTCCCTCCCATCCCAACCCCTTTCTTAACCCCTTTCAACCATTAATCTGTTTTCCATTTTTTATATTTGTGTCATTTCAAGAATGTGATATAAATGGCCTAGGCACAATGGCTCACGCCTATAATCCCAGCACTTTGGGAGGCCAAGGTGGGCAGATCACTTGATGTCAGGAGTTCAAGACCAGCCTGGCCAACACGGTGAAACCCCGTCTCTACTAAAAATACAAAAATTAGCTGGGCGTGGTGGTGCGCACCTGTCATCTCAGCTACTTGGGAGGGTGAGACAGGAGAATCACTTGAACACAGGAGGCAGAGGTTGCAGTGAGCCAAGATTGCACCACTGCACTCCAGCCTGGGCGACAGAGCAAGAGTCCATCTCAAACATAAAAAGAAAAAGAAAATGATATAAATGGAATCATTTGGTATATAACCTTTTGGGACTGGCTTTTTTTCACTCAGCATAATTCCCTGGTGATTCATCCAGGTTGTGGGGTTTTTTTGGTGTTTTGTTGTGTTTTGTTTGAGATAGGGTCTCACTCTGTCGCCCAGACTGGAGTCCAGTGGTGCAATCTAAGCTCACCGCAACCTCTGCCTCCCAAGGCTCAAGTGATTCTCCTGTCTCACCCTCCCAAGTAGCTGAGATGACAGGTGCGCACCACCACGCCCAGCTAATTTTTGTATTTTTAGTAGAGACGGGGTTTCACCGTGTTGGCCAGGCTGGTCTTGAACTCCTGACCTCAGTTGATTCCCCCACCTGGGCCTCCCAGAGTGCTGGGATTACAGGTGTGAGCCACTGTACCTGGCCTAAATACAGATTTTTAATATTTTTTTTTTTGCCCCAACCTCTCTTATCTTCTGGGAATCTAAGTGTACATATAGATCTGTTCCACAGATCACTGAGGCTCTGTTTTTTTCTATTGCTGTTTAGTTTCATTTATTTTGTTTTCTCTCTTTCTCTCTCAATAGTCTTTAAAATCCATTTTTTTAATTCCCCCAGTGCCCAATCTGCTGTTAAGTCTATTATTGGTTTTTTTTTTTTGGAACTAGAGTTAACATTTGGTTCCTTTTTATTCTTTTTGCTGCAAGTCTTCATCTAGTCACTCATTATGTACATCTTAATTTACTTGCTTGCTTTTGAAAATCTTGAACATATTTATAATAGTTGTCTAAAAGCCCCTCACAACTAATTCCAACATGTATGTCACCTCTTGGTCTGTTTCTATGGACATTTGCTCCTGGTTATGAATTACATCTTCCTGCTTTTTTTACTTGTCTGGTAATTTTTATTGTGTTCTGGACATTGTGGGCACTACATTGTTGAGAGTCTGGATTTTGCTCTCTTTCTTTAAAGAGTATTGACTTTTATTCTGGCAGGCAGTTAATTTGCTGGCAGATTAGCTTTTTCCTGTTGAGGCTTGTTTCTAGGATTTGTGAGGTTGGTTCCACAGCAGCCCTTATTAAGGAGCTACATTCTTGAGGCTTAATCTTTCTGGGGTCTCAACTGAATGTCCAGGATATTCAGTGAGATCTCTCCACACTGACTCCTTGAAACACCAGTATCTTTCAGCACTCTGAGATCTCCAGAATTCCCAGCCAGCTTGCAACCCCCCAGTAGCTGTTCTCCACCAGGCTTTTGGGGCTTCCCCTACACATGTGCCAACAGGTTCCCTTACACACATTTCCTGAGCACCCTATTCTCTGACACAAATTCTAGACACCTCAGCTGTCCTAAACTCCAGCCTCTGTTTTGTCTGCCCAAGAAGCCCCCTCTCTTCTATTTTAGACCCACACCTTCCTCTGCCTTCATTAGAAAGTGCCCCCAGCAAGAAATCTGGAGTACATGAAGTTTACCACCTTTGTTTCTCTTCTCTCAAGAATCACAGTCCTGCAGGGCACAGTGGCTCATGCCTATAATCCTAGCATTTTGGGAGGCAGTTGGGGTGGATCACCTGAGGTCAGGAGTTCGAGACCAGCCTGGCCAACATGGTGAAACATGTCTCTACTAAAAATACAAAAATTAGCTGGGCATGGTGGTGGGTGCCTATAATCCCAGCGGCTCAGGAGGCTGAGGTAGGAGAATTGCTTGAACCCGGGGGGTGGGGGTGGAGGTTGCAGTGAGCTGAGATCAGGCCACTTCACTCCAGCCTGGGCAAAAGAGCGAAACTCTGTCTCAAAAAAAAAAAAATAATAATAATAATCATCACAGTCCTTTGTAGTAAGTTCTCTAATGCCTGAAAATGGTTGTTTTCTATATTTCCTCTGGTTTTATCATTGATTATGACAGAAAGGAAAGTCCAACATCAGTTACTGTGTTGAGGCTGGATCTAGATGTTGGCCTTTCTTTGTATCTTTTTTTTTTTTTTTTTTTTTTAGATTGAGTCTCGCTGTGTTGCCCAGGCTGGATTGCAGTGGTGCAGTCTTGGCTCACTGCAACCTCGGCCTCCCAGGTTCAAGCGATTCTCCTGCCTCAGCCTCCCAAGTAGCTGGGACTACAGGTGCACACCACCACGCCTGGCTAATTTTTTGTGTTTTAGTAGAGACAGGGTATCACCGTTTTTGCCCAGACTGGTCTCGAACTCCTGAGCTCAGGCAGTCCACCCGCCTCGGCCTCCCAAAGTGCTAGGATTACAGGCATGAGCCACCACGCCCGGCCTTGTTTTTAAATTTTTAATTTGAATTGCTCTAGGTAATTCTACGTACAGTTCCTACTGTGTTCCATATATTGAAATTATGTCCTTGTCCTTTGTAGATCTCTGAGTTTACCATCTGCAGATTATAAAGCAAGCCCTGGCACAAAAATTAGAAGAGAAAATAGTTTCAAATAAAAAAATACTATGGCCAGACACAGTGGCTCACGCCTGTAATCCCAACACTTTGGGAGGCCAGGGTGGGAAGATTGCTTGAGCCCAGGAGTTTGAGGCCAGCCCTGACAACATAGTGAGACCGCATCTCTACAAAAAAAATAATAATTAGCCAGGGACAGTGGCACACTCCTGTAGTTCCAGCTACTTGGGAGGCTGAGGTCAGAGGATCACTTTGAGCCCAAGAGATTGAAGCTGCAGTGTGTGATGATCACACCACTGCACTCCAGCCTGGATGACAGAGTGAGACCTGTCAGAAAGGCAGGGGTGGGGTGAGGGATGAAGGGAGAGGGAGGGAGGCAGGGAGGGGGAGAGAGAGAGAGAGAGAGAGATTAGAAAGCAAGAGAAAGAAAGAGAGAAATACCTCCTGCGTTGAGCCTTTTTTGCCCCTCGTAGACCACTCTCACCAGTGCTTCTGCCTCCATAGGAAGGCCACTTCCAGTCCCCAAATGTGCTCTCTTCTGTGTATCTCTGGAGCACCACTAGCACTTTGCATACAAGTACACTTGCCCTGCACTTTTTAAAGTTCCTTTTGCATACCCCTTGCCCCTGTTCAACTATCAGCTTTTTGAGAGTGGTTCCTTTTATTTATCTTAATATTCCTTGTTGTGCCAAATAGTATTTGGCACATCATTGGCATTCAGAAATATTCTCATGATTAATTTTCATAGTGACAATGTGTAGTAATTATTTTTAATGTGTCCTAAACTTGTCTTTGTCAAATGTGAAAGACTTTTTCCTCATTCTAGCAGTTGCTAATCCAACAAACCCATTTCTACCCTGTCCACAGGTTTTGTGATTCTGTGGGCTTCCATGGTATTCCTTCTTAACTGTCTTTTTTAGGACAAATGTTGTACATTCAGGGTGAATTGTGGCTCATGTTCTTTGAAGCATAGTTGTGATGATTAACTCCCTCTTCCTCTTCTCCACACAGAGAAATGTTCTTTACTACCATGGAAAGCCACCTTCTGCGCTGCAAAGTGTTAGAAATCATATTCCTCCACAGCTGTGAGACACCCACCCGCCTGCCTCTGTCTCTGGCCCAGGCCCTCTACTTTCTGAATAATTCTACGTCACTGCTCAAGTGTCAGGTACATTTTTTCCTGCCCAATTTCAGGCCTAGAGCACCTCTCTTTGCTCTAGGCCCGAACCCTTCCCATAGGATTTTAGCTTAAAACACAACTGTTTGAGCATTCTGTAAAGGTGAATTGAAAACTGTACAAAAATTTTAACTGGGGAAGGCATTTATTATCAATCCATTTTACTATCTCTGCAGTCAGATAAAAGCCAGTGGCAGACTTGGGACGAATTGGTTGAGCATCTGCAGTTTCTGCTGTCCAGTTATCAACATGTTTTAAGAGGTAAGGAGCATTTGTTCACAAGTGGAGTAGTGGAAGGTCTCAATGGACATTTGTATTAGTCATAACTACACAGGATATTCTGATTTGTTGACATTGTTCCTTGGTTGTATGTAACTTATTATAAGGGATAAGAAATGACATAGCCGGAGTCACCACTGTGAAAAGAATTCACATATTCTTGTTATGGCCGACAATACATGGTCCTCATAGTTGTAAGATTGTGTAGGTAAGCAGAAGTCATCAGAACCTCCAGCCTGGCCAACATGGTGAAACCCTGTCTCTACTAAAAATACAAAAATTAGCCAGGCGTGGTGGTGTATGCCTGTACTCCCAGCTACTCAGGAGGTTGAAGCAGGAGAATCATTTGAACCCAGGAGGCAGAGGTTGCAGTGAGCCAAGATCATGCCACTGCATTCCAGCCTGGGCAACAGAGTGAGACCCTGTCTCAAGGGGGGCGGAAAAAAAGAGAAGTCATCAGAACCTGAGAAGGACTCAGGAATGCCTGAAGACCCCTGGCATCCTCCCTTGGCCTGTCACTGCAGCATCTTTGCTCACTGACTGTGGACATTGTAAACATTGTAAACATCCGTCAATACAATGTAAGTACAGAGCAAATCAGGAGCAAGGTGAACATGTACATCTTGCAGAAGATGTAAGGTACTCTAAGTCTATGAAAGTGGCTCTTCAGAGCTGCTTGGGTCACAGGTGAAGCCAGTGACCAATGACGATGTAGGAGAGTTAGACCAGGTAACCCTCAGAAGGTAAATGTTGACCAGGATAATGATGGAATAGCTGCTTCAAATGAGAATGATTTTATTAGCCAAGGATTAATGAGGCCTGTGGGGAAACTGAAGAACTGATGAATTATTAATTACTAGAGGAAAAATAGTAACTTGCTAGGGGAGAAACCTGGCATTCTTCCTGGATGTGATTGACGGAGAAGGATGCATCATCATGTATGTAATGTTCTTGCCAAAAGTTCATGACCTGGATCCAATGGCCAGGACACTTCAGACAAAACCAGATTGAGTGACCTTTTATAAAATAACTGACCTGTACTTTTTTAAAGTGCCAGTGTTTTAAAAACAAAGACAGACTGAGATACTCTTCCACATTTAAAAGAAACTAAAGCACATAAATACTACATACAAGGCATGACCCTAGGCTGGATCCTGAACAGGAGAAAAGAAGTCATAAATGGGGAGACGAGAGTTTTCCAGAAAGAAAGAACAGCATGTCCTAGAGCCTTGAGGCTCTAGGACACACTAAGTTGCTTAGTGTGAGTCCAAGGAACATAGAACAAACTAGCAGGGCAAGGCTGTAGTACATTGTTCGGACAATTGGTAAAACTTTAGTAGATTAGATAACATTATTGTGTCCATATTAAATTCCCTATTTTTGATAATCATACTGGATTATGATAGTAAATGTCCTTGGCCTTAGGAAATCCATACTGAAGTATTGAGGGGTAGAGGGGTATAGTGTCTGCAACTTATTCCCAAATAGTGAGGGAAAAAAGTATACAAGTGAAATACACCTGCCCATGATCATATTTATGTTTATTTTAACTCAGTAATGGCACTTGGGAAAGTAAGATAGCTCTCAGACCCTCTCAGGCCAGGAATTGAGAAAGCTGTTGTAGAGACTTTAAAAAAAAAAAAAAAGTACTGGATTTAAGACAGAAAGTCTGAGTTTAAATCCGAACTTCACCATTTACTCAGTGTTGGGCAGCTAACTGTGTCTCTAGGCCTCGGTTTCTTCCTTCTATAGAATGGGGATGATAGTATGTAACTTGCAAGGATTATTAATGAGTGAAAAAAGTAATGTGTTTAATGTTCATTGAATCTGTCTTCCTGCGTCCCTGGGCAGAGGTAGGCTAAGGGTCTTCTCTGTGTTTCAGACTGTTGTAACTCACACTTAAAAGAGTACATTGTCGGCCAGGCATGGTGGCTCACGCCTGTAATCCCAGCACTTTGGGAGGCCGAGGCGGGCGAATCACAAGGTCAGGAGTTCGAGGCCAGCCTGACCAACATGGTGAAACCCCGTCTCTACTAAAAATACAAAAAAATTAGCTGGGTATAGTGGCGGGGTCTTGTAATCCCAGCTACTCAGGAGGCTGAGGCAGGAGAATCATTTGAACCCGGGAGGTGGAGGTTGCAGTGAGCCAAGATCGTACCACTACACTCCAGCCCTGGCGACAGAGTGAGACTCTGTCTCAAAAAAAATAAAAGAGTATGTTGTCCAGTCCATGCATGATATGTGGTTGTGCAGTTTGTGCATTTGTAGCACCCTCAAAGAAAGGTGCATGTCCTTCTCCAAACAAAGACCCGAAGGCAAGTTCCATGTGTTCTTACCCTCAGTGAGGCTTATGTAATTGTTTTGGAGATTACCAGAAAGGTTAATATTAACAGCTTGTTTTAAAGTTCACCTTTAACATTTCTTGTTCCTTTCTATTTTGATTCCCGGGGAATACACCTATCATGGGCAATAATGACTTAAGGTGGAAACGGAATCTACTTTTATTACAGAATATTTTTTATGTTTTGATAAGAGAGAGAAAGGCCTCAAACCAGTATATATTGACCAAGAATAAATGGGGTGTGTTGCAGTGCTGTTTTATCCTTAAATGTTTGTTCCAGCTTCTTTGGGGTCCAAGAGTTAGGAAGGAGGAAAATTAGCACTAGTAGTTTGAAAACATTGTCCTGCAAAGAACACAGCCGAATGGTACCCAGCAATAGTCAGCGTCCTTGTCAGTCAGTAAGCATCTTACTGTGAGGGCCCTTCGTCTCATCTCTGCCTTCTGCGAGTGGTCTGTGGATGTTGTTGAGGGCATTTTGAGATCAGTCTGAGTTGTCTAGCTCCACTAGTTGTCTAGCTGCAAGAGTGGGAGAAGAAGGGAAGGGATTAGAGAGCCCAAGCTTTCCTTTTGTTTAGGGGAACTCTCAGCATGGAGGAAGAAAGGAAAAGAGATTAGGTAAATTCACCTGCACTGGTTTATATAATCCAAAAACCTTGTGAAGGTATCACCCCCTGTTATAGATGGGAAAACAAAGGCTGAGAGAAAAGCAAATGCAGAGCTAGGATTCAAACAGGTCTGTCAGAGACACGGATTCTGGGCTGTCAATTGAGCTCATGTTCTTGTTCTTTGGCCGAGAGAATCAATCCCCCCCACCCCAGTTGCATAGCCATGTGGCTCAAGTTTCAGCCTCAGCAAAATTACAAAGTGCTGCCTGTCATGGAGTTTATGAGTATGAATTCTAGGGATTTGAACATATAATATTTCAATGAACAAATGCATGCTTTTCCTGAATCCTGCTTATCTGGCCAGCATAGCTTGCAGAAGTCAGTCACAGTCATTCTGAGGCCAGTCACACACACGGTCTCCCTGCAAGGAGCCCTGTCCACGGACGGGGAAAAGCAGAAGCAGGTAGGATCAGTTCAATTCATATATTTATCCAGGCAACAGATATCTACTGAATGTCCTCTCTGTCCTCTGTGCTCACTGGGAAAACCTTAATGAATAAGACCAGCATGGCATCTGCCCTCACAGAGCTTACTGTTTAGTGGAGAGATTGATCCTAAATGAATAATGATACAAGTAACCTATAGTTACATAGAGTAAATGCTATGAAGGAAGTACAAGTGCACAAAATCTATTTTTGGAGGGATCCAGGAAGGCCTCCCTGAAGAAGTGATACCTCATCTAAGACATTAAGTAGGCGGGGCGCAAGGGCTCACCCCTGTAATCCTAACACTTTGGGATGCTGAGGTGGATGGATCACCTGAGGTCAGGAGTTCAAGACCAGCCTGGCCAACATGGCAGATCCCCATCTCTACTAAAAATACAAAAATTAGCCAGGCGTGGTGGTGGGTGCCTGTAATCCCAGCTGCTTGGGAGGCTGAGGCAGGAGAATTGGTTGAACCCGGGAGGCAGAGGTTGCAGTGAGCTGAGATCGTGCCACTGCACTCCAGCCTGGGCAGCAGAGCAAGACTCCATCTCAAAAAGAAATAAATAAAAGACATGAAGTAATGGTGTTAGCCAGGCAAATGGGGAGACAAGAGTTTTCCAGAAAGAAGGCACTGAATGTCCAAGGGCCTTGAGGCAAAAAGATGCTTAGTGAGTCCAAGGAACATAGAACAAGCTAGCAGGGCAAGGATGTAGTGAGTAAGGGGAGAATAACACTAAATGAGACTAGAATAGTCCATGGAGGAGGTTGTGAAGGGCCATCTTGGCCATGCTAAGGAAATTCAGCTGGTTCTAATAACAGAGTGAAGCCATCAAAGTGGTTGGTTCCAAGTAAGGGAGTGTCATGATCAGATCTGCAAATTTAAAGGCTGCTCTACCTGATGTGTAGCGAATCATTTGGCAGAGGGCCAGAGGGGCCAGGGGAGGGGTAATGGTGACAAGGGTGTGGCAAGGACAGAAGGACAGTGGAGAAGGCAGTGGATGGGACAGAAGCACTTTGAAGATAACTTTGACAGGGCTCTTAAGTGACTGAGTCTGAAGGGTGACTCCCAGGGTTCTGCCATTACTGATATGGAGAAAGATCTGCAAAGAAGATGAAGAGCTCAGGTTTGACATATTAGGTAGGAGATTCCTATAGTGATGATGATGATGATGATGATGATGATGAAATAATAATTAACTCTTGTATTGATCCAAAACTACTAACAATACTATCAGCTGAAATATCTTGAGCCAGGCATTATGGCTCAAACCCTTTTCAATGCTAAATGTCCTCATACAGTAATCAGCAACCTCTGACATAACAACTCTTATCCCTACCGAAGCATAAAATCCAAGGCCTTGTTGACTAGACCAGCAGGGCTGAAGTCCACTGGCCAGGGTTTCCTCCCCCATAGACAGTGCTGAGATGGGCACTGCTAACATTTGCTTCTTTAACTTTCCTGCATGATTTAATAAACTCCACATTCTTCTTGCTTGCCCTCTAAGTTTCCCCTGTCCCACCCTATTCAGTCAACTTTTTTTCCACTTCTTTCAAAATCATTTTTGTATTTTTCAGAGTGGCACATGCCTTAAGAAAATCAAAGTCTACAAAAAGGCTCTTCCTAAGACAATTCCTAACTAGTCTCAAATAAAACAGCTCATATTTCCCTATTTACAACCCTCTAAGTCTATAGATACCCTGTTTGCTCTCAAAGGCCAAACTCCACATTATAATGTGGCCTACCCTACCTTCCAATCTCATCTAGTACTTGTCTCCCTTTTATTACTCTGATTTTTTTAAGTTTCTCGATTTATAAAGTCATTACCTTATGTTAGCTGAAACACTTTAAGTATCAAATGTAATTTTCATTGCCTTCCATGGATGCCATTAACGTGGTATATGCATCCCCAGTGCTTCCACCCAGTTCCAGAGGCTGGGAAGTCCAAGGTCGAGGGGCTGCACCCGGGAAGGACTTCTTGCTGCGTCTTACCACGGCAGAAGGCTTCCTACCCTGATTTTCTGTCTTGTTCTCTAAGCATGCTTTTCCTCAGGACATTTGCTATTGCTGTTCTCCATGGACTGCTTTTCCCTTTGACCTTTGCATGGTTGCCTCCTCATCCGTCAATACTCAGCTCACAGACCCTCCGTGGCTAGAGTGGGCTGCTTCCCTTATTCCCCTCAGTGTTACTGTTTATCACAGCATCTGATTTATTTATTTGATTGCATTTGCCACAAACTATAATCAATATTGTTGACTAACTTATCATCAGGCTTCCTGCAACTAGAATATCAGTCCACAAGGACTGGGCCCAAGGCTCTAAATTCCACTGTGTCCCCAGACTCTAGCCAGTTCCTGATATGCAGTAGGTGCTCAGTAAATGTGTGCTGTTTGAAGGTTGAAAGGGCCTTGCACTTCCATCTCAAGGCAGCTTTGTTTCCTGTGTTTCCAGACTTTTTGAACATGCTGTTGTATACTTACTGTACTTCTTCACAGATTACAGACTTTAGTTTTGAGAGATTTTGCTTTTCCATCATTTTATCTGAAGGTTGAGAAAAAACATATTGAATGTATTACTTGAAAATGTAACCTGATAAACCGCTTAAAATGTAACCTGATATACCACTTAAAATGATTTGTTCTGTGTCCTAAATCTGGATACAGTGTAGCTCAGTCCTTTTAATAACTGTTAGTGAAAGTGCCATCATCCCCGTTTGATAAATGAGGAGACTGAGAAATGATGGTGTACTTATGTGCAACTGGAAGTCTTCAAGTCCCCAGAACTCTCTCAATACATTTGCCTAATGTGACCTTCTGCTCATTTGCCTCAATTCCACACACTTCTAGAATCTATTGGGGCTGGCCTGTAGATTTGGGATGAGATACCTTTATAACTTTTTGTTTTCCTATTTTCATTTTTAGACCTACGGAAAAGTAGAAAGAATAGTATAACGAATGCCCATATATATACCGTTTACGCTGATTCATTAGCTTCTAAGATTTTGACACATTTGGTTTACCTATTGATCCATGTATATACCATTTTTTCTGAAACAGTTGATAAGTGCGCCATCATAATTGTATTGCTTAAGTACTTCAGCATGTTCAGCATGTATCTCCTAAGCGTAAGGATATTGTACTTCATACCACTGTGCATTATCACACTCACGAAACTTTTCTTTTTTTGTTTTTTTGTTTTGTTTTGTTTTGTTTTTTTTGAGACGGAGTCTAGCTCTGTCGTCCAGGCTGGAGTGCAGTGGTGTGATCTTGGCTCACTACAACCTCCACCTCCCGGGTTCAAGCAATTCTCCCACCCTCAGGCTTCCGAGTAGCTGGGATTACAGGCATGCACCACCATGCCCAGCTAATTTTTTTGTATTTTTAGTAGAGACAGGGTTTCACCATGTTGGCCAGGCTGGTCTCAAACTCCTGACCTCAGGTGATCTGCCCATCTCCGCCTCCCAAAGCACTGGTATGACAGGCATGAGCCACCACAGCCTGCCATGAAACTTGTTCTTGATAGAATATTATCTAATAGTGTCCCAGTAATATACTTTTTAGGTAGTTGATTTTAGATTGAGCCAGGATACGGTCAAATATGAAGCACTGTACTTGGCAGTCATACTCTTTGGTCTCCTTTAGTCCAGCACAGTTCCCAGCTTTTACTTGTCTTTCATAATAGACATTTTTTAAGAGTCCAGGCCAGTTATTTTGTACATGTCCTATGATTGGGATGTTTAATTGCTTACTCGTGATCACACTCATGTTAAATACTGTTGACAAGAACATGGAGTAGGCCAGGCACGGTGGCTCACACCTGTAATCCCAGCACTTTGGGAGGCCGAGGCTTGCGGATCACTTGAGGTCAGGAGTATACACACACACACACACACACACACACACACACACACACCTGAGACTGGGTAATTTATAAAGAAAAGTTTAGTTGGCTCACAGTTCTACAGGCTGTACAGGAGGCATAGTGGCCTTTGCTTCCAGTGAGGCCTCAGGAAACACAATCGTGGCTCAAGGGGAAGCAGACACGTTTTACGTGGCCACAGCAGAATAAAGAGTGAGGAGGTGCTACGTAAACACTTTAAACCACCAGACCTCATGATAACTCACCATCACTAGAACAGCACCAAGGGGATGGTGCTCAACCATTCATGAGAAATCACCCCCACCAGGCCCCACCTCCAACATCAGGGATTACAATTTGGGACTGTCTAGTTGTTTATTCATGATCATACTCATGTTAAATACTATTGGCTAAAACATGGACTAGATGAATATGTCTAATTGTTTCCTCAGTATTTTCATTTTTTGACCATGTTATGTGATCATAAAAAATGACACAGATCCAAACCATATCACTTTTTTTAATGTAAAACTTCTTAAGGACCCGAGAGAACTGAGAACAAAGGGCCTTTTGGAAGTGGAGTTACTGCAGGCACTCACACAGCCTTCGACTTGTATCCCTGTAGCTAGTCAGCAAGTCTTTGCCAAGACTCTACCTACCAAAATTAGACTTCTTAAAAAGAATTAAAAAGCAGTTCAGAGCACCCAACTGACTTTTTTCCCTCTTGCAGAACACTTAAGGAGTTCCGTGATCGACCGAAAGGACTTAATAATCAAAAGGATTAAGCCCAAACCCCAGCAAGGAGATGACATCACAGTGGTAGACGTAGAGAAGCAGATTGAGGCCTTCCGCAGCCGCCTGATCCAGATGCTGGGGGAGCCTCTTGTCCCCCAACTCCAAGACAAAGTGCACTTGTTGAAGCTCCTGCTCTTCTATGCTGCGGACTTGAACCCTGATGCAGAGCCCTTTCAAAAGGGCTGGAGCGGCTCCTGAGGGCCTGCCAAGCACTGAATGCCAAGAATACCTCCTGAACTCTCTCTCCAACTGCTCAGAAGCTCTAAAAGCATGAAAAGTGGTTAAAATCTTACAGGACCAAACCTGCATTATTTAATCAGTAGGTTGTAATTTCTAACTCTAGTAAATATCTTTTTTTAAATAATCCTATCCTAGCCTGTTCTCAAATATGGCTTAAATATACAAGGTATATATATTTTTTAATAAATTATTTATCTATACTTTTTTGAAACAGGTTAATACTCTGTGCATCACATGTTTAACATTTTCATTCAAGATGTGGAAAAAATCCCTCTGCTGAACCTAGTCTATACACCAATATTATGTCATTCAAGGTACCGACAACCTGTTTCAGGAGAGAGACGTTCATTTTTCCCTAATGAAATGCAAGCATTCTGTTAGACCTATTATATTGCCTGTTAATTTGACTGTAATGAATAGGGGGTAGAAACAAAAGGATCAAGTGTGTTATAAAACATTTGATGTTAAAAGGAGACAATAAAAAGGCAATGGTTTTTCAAAATACCAAGTTCAGTGTGACTCTGGGTGGGTAGAGTGGAATAACTATTGTTAAAAGGACAAAAAAATAGCCACATTTGAGAAAGTAGTAAGGATTTTTATTGTCAAAACGAGATCATAATAGAAGACACAAATAAATTAATTGTTCTCATAATTTTAGACTCCAGGGCCTCTCTATGGAAAGGCCAGCTTCTTATACAGACAAGGTACTATCCAAAACAAAAAGCAGGTATTTGAGACAGTGTTCAAGACAACAAGTGAACTTGTACACAGTGAAGAGAAATAAAAAGGTGGCTTCTGTATTTCCCTCCCTCAGTAAGGTTATGTGTTGCATAAAGGGATGAGGCTCATTTTGGTGAAAAATGCTTTCATACAGAAAATTTTGAATTGAGTGACCTCCCCGCACAGGCGTTCCAGGCCCTGACCTGAACAAGGAAATCAAAGTAAGTTAACACCACTGGCTTCACATGAACCTCAAGACTATAATCTAACGGTATCTACCATCTCCTTTACTTTAAAAAAGTTTAATGTCCATTTACCTATACCAAATCAGTAGACTTAATTTTCTCTCTTAGGAAGTTTTTAACCAAATTACAGCTAAATTAATCTCACTTTAAAGTGCAAGAAAGGCTCTGCTAGAGTAGTGTTTGTTCTGTGGCATAGAAAGAGGAGCATGCCTCCTCCGGCACTGGCCTAAGAGGCCCCACATGAAGAACTAGCTGCAAGACAGTGATCCATTAGGTCTGCCAAAAAGCAGGGGGACTCAAGGTTCAGCCTAGAAAGAGGGGTCCCTGCCAAGTCTGGCTTTTACCTGTACCCAGGTCCCAAACAAACCTTGGGTCCCCTAACTGATAAGGCTGGAGCACAGCACCAGTCATCAACAGGGCCAAAGTCGTCTTAGCGAGTCAGTGAGCACCTCTAAGCCATGATTTGTCAATGCTCACATGGATAGTGGTAAAGGAATAAAGAAGCCTGGGTTTTGGAACAGTACAAACATTCTTTACCTAGTAAGCAGTGATCAAAGTTCTTACCTAGGGTAAATGATGAAAAAAATAGGTAATGAGGTCCCCATACACCCGTGCTGAGAATATTAGTCTAACTTTAAAGCAGTACAAAATGGCTTCTTCCACACAACAAGGGCAAGCTTTATACTAATGTTTCTCAAAAACCAATTACATCTCCAGCTCTAGCCTCAATTTAATAGGTTTTTTACTTTACTTTATTTATTTATTTATTGATGGCGTCTCGTTCTGTCGCCCAGGCTGGAGTGTAATGGCATGATCTCAGCTCGGTACAACATCTGCTTCCTGGGTTCAGGCGATTCTCCTGCCTCAGCCTCCCAAGTAGCTGGGACTACAGGCGCCCACCACCACGCCCAGCTAATTTTTGTATTTTTAGTAGAGACGGGGTTTCACCATGTTGGCCAGGCTGGTCTTGAACTCCTGACCTCAGGTATCCACCTACCTTGGCCTCCCAAAGTGCTGGGATTACAGGCGTGAGCCACCACGCCCAGCTGATTAAGTTTTTAAATATACCTTTCCTATGTCAAAGCCAAGGTAAAAGGGGAGTGGGATGCAAGAAACCACCTTTACCAGAATCCCTGGAAAGAGGGCTCTAGAAGCCAGTGGGTGTGAGCACATTCAGGTCACGGGGTTTGAGGTTATGGGCCCGTGGTGGCTGTTTCTTTCCTTCCATCACTGGGATGTCCATCTTGGGGGGCTTCAAGGCTGCTGGATCTTCAGCCATTCGGTTGGCCTGGGCACGTATCAGTTCCAATGGAGAGGGCTTCTGGGCTCCTCGGTAGGCCTGGGTGGCAAAACTTCCTACAAAAGTGAACCAGAGTGCAAATGATTTCAAAACCAGTAAACAGCTCCCGGTATACAATATGGTAAGATGTCTGCCATGCTGCTCTCTTTTTTGAAGGTGCTGCCTTACCAGAATCGTACTTCTGAAGGGATCTCGGTCCAAAGAGGCTCCACTTATCTGACAAGTTTCTGTCCTTATCCCCACTTCCAGAGTCCATGGTGCTAGGATTTGGGCCAGGTAAGGCTGTGGAAGAACCAGAAGTGAACCAGCCCCTGGGAAAGAAAGAACAAAACATATCCTAAAATACCTCTTCCTTCGCCCCTAGAAATGTCTCACACCAAAAGAACAGGGAACTATCCCTTCTCCCTCTGAAACCACAGGCTTAAATACAACCTCATCTGCCACACTAGCTTTCCTGAAGCACGCAGGAACTCGGAAGGGTCACAGGAAGGGCTCACCTGGGCCTCTGCTTAGGTGAAGAGTGCGGAGTGGTGCTTGGGGTGGACTGGGCTGATGCAGGCTGCCTCTCTTCTTTTGTTACCTCTCCACTCTGTAACTTTAGTTTCTGCTCAGATGGGTAAGAAGAGAGACTTTTTAAAAATGAAAGCAAATTCCAAACAGATAAGTCTAGGCATAAAAAATTTGGTTCGCATTCTAACTTTAGGCAGAAGACATCTACAGGTGGAATGATTTCGGATGATCTAACAGGTAGTCCTTTGTTTTTGCCATACTAGATGGAACTCCATCTCCTTAAAAAATGTGTTCATTCTACACTATATCATGAACATCCCTGTACTTAAAGCTTTACACTACAACTTTTACTTTCAGAAACGTGAAGTAATTTCCCCACATTCCCCCAGACAGTAAAATGGAAGAGCCAGAACGCTAGCTGCCAGCCTTCTTGGCCTTTTAAGCAGGGCTTAAGCTCTTGTCTCGCTGCTGCTCCTACCATGTACAAAGCCCTGCCCATCCTCAGTCTCTCCAAGCCAATACTCAGGCATGCTGCTTCTCTCCAGCTAAATGCTTCCTCTGAGGAGCCTGTTCCATTCTCTCCTCCTTCTCTCCCATAGTCAGCCACTCTGGGTTCCCTCAGCACCGTGAGCATTCCTCTGACTCGCAGTCTAGTGGGGAGAGACAGGTCTACATCTCAGCTCTTCTAGAGCAAGGTTCCCATGCTGTTTCCTCCCTCCAGGCCTGCCACGCCACTGCTTAACCCAAGCTGCACACCAAACAATGATCACGTTTGAATTTTCTCAAACGCTCAACAGATCCATTCATGTAAGTTGACAATCTGTTACAAGATGTAAGTTACAGCTAATATTTCAGCCATCCTCATGTTCTACTCCTATGGGCAAGACACAGAAAGTGGGTCAACCAAAGTCAATCCTACCATTATATAAGGTGAATTGCTCAAATAGAATTCTCACTGACCTATCCTGGAAAGTTCTCAGTTAAGGGTCAAAGGCTGCCGGTGCCCCTCTCTGGAAGCTTCTGTCTTGTTTGAAAGCTTAAACTGGCCACCAGCCCAAACCTGATTTCCTATAGCAGTTTTTAAACCTAGCCTGCAAAAGAATCATCTGGAATGCTCATTACAAAATGCAAACAGGGCCGGGTGCGGTGGCTCATACATGTAATCCCAGCACTTTGGGAGGCCAAGGCAGGTGGATCACATGAAGTCAGGAGTTCAAGACCAGCCTGGCCAACATGGTGAAATCCCATCTCTACTAAAAATCAGCTGGGCATGGTGGCGCATGCCTGTAAATCCTAGCTATTTGGGAGGCTGAGTTGGGAGGATCACTTGAACCCGGGAGGCAGAGGTTGCAGTGAGCCGAGATCACAACACTGTACTCCAGCCTGGGTGACTGCAAACAGGCCACAGTTTTATATCCACAGTTTTATATCCCCACCCACAGGCCACCAGATCCGGGTTATTCCTCGTTATGTATAATGTATACCATGATTCTTTCCTGCGTCGTGTGCTCTCCTCACCTTGCCCTCATCATACCCTGTTCAGAACTCTTAAAATAAAGCTTGGAACAAGCCTGGATTCTGACCCCCCCTTGCCTAAAGAAGACAGCCCAAGTTTCTTAACTGTAATTGTGTCTCTTCACAATCTGCCCCTGACTTCCATATGAGCCCCTTCAGGAGCCAGATTTCCAGGCTGCTTTGGAATGAGGAGGAAGAAGCCAACAGGAAGTAAGGCATCAGGAGACTTGGGTTCGGGTACTATGACTGGCTGAATAGATGGCCTCGAACCTCAATCTCCTCATTTACAAAATATGGAGAAGAGCATCTGTCCCAAAAGGTGATTGTGAGGATGAAATGAATGCAAGTGCTTCACAATCATAAAACACTATCCAGTATGAAGCGGTCTTCACTGAAAGAAAGTCATTTGAAACTATTCATTCAAATACTTGGCTATCACTAAATTAACCCTTACCAAAATTCTTCACTTATAGAAATGAAATAGCAAAAACATTCCAATTCCACATTTGATTTTAACTTGTTCCTTTCCAGTTAAGCTGTTACCTCTGTTGAGGCTGCCCAGTTCTCCCCAAGATACTCCACATTTGCTTTATGATTCATAAAGTACTCCTATGTATATGTAAGCTGAGGCTCTCACTTGATTCTGCTAACCAGAAGTAGCAAAACAGACACCCCACTGTATAGGTGGATAAGCAAAAACTACGAGGCTAAGAGCTCGGGAGCGAGACTAACTCCACAGCCCCCAACTAACTGAGCTGGTAACTTCAAAACCACAGCCACATTTCAAGCCATGAACACTGAAGGTTTTGTTTTTTCAAAGTTCCTAAGAGCTTACGTGGAGTGCTTCGGCCACTCGAAGGTACTTGGTCTCCTCGGTGGTGAGGCCCTTGTGGGGTGTGTAGCCAGCATCTCTCAGCCCTGCCTGTCGCTCAAAATGCTGAATGCTTTCCTGGGTCTGTTCTGGGAACAGAGGAGATGACAGTCATGCCCATTCCCCTCTCCCATCACAAAATAAGGAGGACAACATGGATATCTACTATTCTCCCCAGAAGCAAGAGACCACACTGACCATTCAAAGAAGAGGAGACTTTCCCCAGAGAGGCACCACAGCAGTAATTCTGAACCTCACACAAAGGCTCTCTAGCCAGAAGGAAGCCTTCCCTCACACCAAGCTGAAGAGGTTATTCCTAAAGGGACAGCTGAAGAACCTTGAGGACAATACTCCCACCCTCCTCTTAGTTGTACATGGTGACATTTTCTTTGTATTTAGAAATGCAACATGGGGCTGGATGCAGTAGCTCACACCTGTAATCCCAGCACTTTGGGAGGTCAAGGCGGGCGGATCAAGAGGTCAGGACATCCAGACCATCCTGGCTAACAAGGTGAAACCCCATCTCTACTAAAAATACAAAAATTAGCTGGGTGTGGTGGCAGGCGCCTGTAGTCCCAGCTACTCGGGAGTCTGAGGCAGGAGAATGGCGTGAACCCGGGAGGCGGAGCTTGCAGTGAGTCGAGATCGTGCCACTGCACTCCAGCCTGGGCGACAGAGCAAGACTCCATCTCAAAAAAAAAAAAAAAGTTACATTGTGCTAAAAGAACAATGAATAAGTTTTGTAACACTGCTAGAACACATTCTCAAGCTTGTAAAATAAAAGTAGTGTTGCTGATTCAACAGATGTGAATAAGAAAATCAAAGTATAGGTGGTGCGTGATGGCTCACACCTGTAATCCCAGCACTTTGGTTGGCCTAGGCGGGCAGATCACGAGGTCAGGAGTTTGAGACCATCCTGCCCAACAGAGTGAAACCCCATCTCTACTAAAAATACAGAAATTAGCCAGGCGTGGTGGTGGGCGCCTGTAGTCCCAGCTACTCCAGAGGCTGAGGTGGGAGAATTGCTTGAACCTGGGAGGCGAAGGTTGTGGTGAGCTGAGACCACAGCATTGCACTCCAGCCTGGGTGACAGAGTGAGACTCTGTCTCAAAACAAAAAAAAAAAAGAAGAGAAACCAAAGTAAGAGTCTGGACCTTTGGTTCTTGGTGAATTCACTAGGAATTGCCCAGGACAAACTGATGCCCTCCTGGAGAAGATAAACAAGGGCTTCTGACTTCAAAAATGAGCCAACCAAGGAGAACCTCTATGTACCTTACCCTGGTAGGGGCACAACTGCTGACAAACAGAGCCATGTATCTAATTGTTAACTTCCCACAGCAACCTGTACAGCCCTCCAGAATGAAGAAGTTTAGTTAGCTTGTTATAAGGTTAAAAAAAAATCCAAGTTCTCATATCAGGTTTCATTAGGATGACCAATCATACATTCTTAAGACTAAAGACACTTGGACCTGGTCCTCTTCCTGGTAGACCAACTTTGAGCTGTTTAAAAAAAAAAAAACAAAAAAAAAAACAAAAACTGGGGTAAGTGGGAAATGCCCGGATGTTTCCCCTTCTCCAGCAGAGCTTGAAACAGTAACAGCAGCAGCTGCCGCCACTGAGCACTGGGCCTTCTGATCCTCACCTCAACCTGCCAGTGAAATTCCCCATTTTAGAGCGGGGCAGTCTCTGTAGTTAAGTAGCTTGCCCAAGGCCACAGTGACAGAGCTGGGAACATGAGATCATATCAACAAAGCAGCAGGAATGCACCTAAATCAGATAAGATGCTTAACATTTGGCAAATCTTCCACTTAATAAATGGAGCTTCAATACTGACATGATTCAGCAGCCAAACTGACATTTTTTAGGATAAGGTAAGGCGAGCGTGTTGCAGTATCATCTCCAATCAGCTTGTAGGAAGCCTCAACTCTTCCCTGCCCCTATGGCACTCTACTCTGAGGGTGAAGAGTGCTTACTTGTGATCAGAGAATTCATGATGACATGGGTAGCTTTAGCCTTCACCACTGGGACCTTGTCCACACTGTCAATGGCTGATGACAGGGTCATGGCAGGGGAGGGTAGACTGGCCTCTCCTTCCTCCACCTGTTCAAGAGAGGTACAGTACAGAAGCACTTAGGCAGGGCAGGGGAGTCACACACCTAAACTTACTCCTTTGGGGAGGAAGTTACTGAAATAACATTAATCTGGTAAGTGAGGAAATCATTGAAGGGAGGAGTTGGTCATCTCCACCCAGCTAGATAGGTATTATCCATAGAGACAACAAAGAAAGACATTAGGTGAATAGTTTACATTTATAAAGGTGGGAAAGCCAGAATTTGAAGCTCTGACGTCTACTACCTTCCCAGACTATGATCTTCCGATATACTATAGTACTATGCCCTAAGAATGCAGAAGAAATGCTTATTACGAAGCACTGACCACATCCCAGGCACTATGCTAGATCTTAATTGATGAGAGCACTGGCTAAGTGGTTCTGACCCTGTGCCAGCCATTAGAACAGACTGCCGGGCTCCACCTCAGAGTTTGATTCAGTAGGTCCCTGTTAGTCTGGGGTGGAGTTCAAGAATTTCTTTCTAATAAATTCCCAGGTGTTACTGATGCTGCCGGTCCCAAGACCACACCTTGAGGACCACTGCTCCCAAGGTTCAAGTAATGGTCTTTTGAAACAAACAAAAAAAATCTACTTAGCTCCTCATTTTCAACCTGCAAGAGCTGGCAGCCTCCACCTTCTGCAATCGAAACACCTGATACCTTGCTCAGGCCTAGCAGGGAGGAGAGAACAAGACTTATTCTTTATTCTGTGCTTGTCTGGAAGAACTGAGAAGAAAGTAAGATGGTTGAAAAGGGGGGACAGATAAAAAGTAATGAAAAATGTTGTATCCTTACTACAAAACAGAATTTATACCTTTAAGCTGTGACCTTGAGTAAAACTTGAGCCTGTTTCCTTACTGGGAAGACGGTTGATTCCTAACATGGGGAGAGTTAGGGCAAATGAATAGGATCGCATGCAATGAGTCAAGCGGAGCTCTCCTTTGGAGCAGCTGTTCCAAGCCATCAGCTGTTCCAGCTGAGGCCCAGAAGAAATCTGGAAGCCCGCTCATCCCTTGCCTTGTGGAGCCATCAGCAGGGTGTGTGGCCTGGCAAGCACCACCAGAAGCCCTGCTCACCTCCTGCTCTGGACCCTAAAGCCCATTGCTCTGACATCACAGGCAAGCTGCAGCAGGCCTTTTCTCCCTGCACTTTTGCTACTTGTTACATGGAATACTCTCCCTGAACAACTGACTGGGTCATATTTCAGTAGATAATTGATAGAGGGAATATCCCCCAGAGCTGTAGGGGCACTTTCTTAGAAAGGAGCTGTCTGCCCTGAAAGTCTGTTGGAGGCGGGGGGAAAAACACTCCTTAGAAATTATCAAATATGGCTCTACTAAGAGAAAGTTAAGCAGGGAGCCTGCAGTCATAATATCAGCTACACAGCTAATACACAATGTGCCAACCCTTTACATCCCCTGACTGAATCCCCACAACACCTCTATGACATAAGGTATTCCCAACTCTCAGAGAGAGACACTGGGGCTCAGGGTAAAGTTGTGTGCCCAAGGTCTTGCTAGGGCAGACCACCTGGGACTCACACCCAGGCCTATTTCAGTGGACCCTTACTGTGTACTGCCTGTCAGGCCCTGAGCTACCATGTGGCTCAAAGTTCAGAGAAACTGTAGCTACAGGTTAAACAGCCTTACGTGAACTTGGCGGGCCTACTTTATTCAGGCAACAGTCTAGCCTTTCTTGTATTCTTGGTGGCTGGAGAGTCAGAGGGGAGAGAGTCCCTGAGGTCGGGAAGCAGAGGCTCCAATAATGCGAACCTACGAAACTAGACTGCACGAAGGACTGTGAGGTATGTTCGGAAGGGCCTTAGGAAGGAGGCAGTTCTTACAGAGGATGGCCATGGGCAAAGGCAGCTGAGGCTGGAGGTACAGCATGAGGACAGGTACAGCATGTGTTCAAGAAAGGGCCAATTTTTTTCCCCAATCACAAAATGAGCAGTTTTTGGGAATCTATGCCAGGCCATCGGCTGGATCCTGCAGATAAGAGTACAAACCTAGACATGGCCCCTGTCCTCAGGAAGCTAATGGAGGGCGAGAAAGCAATGCAGGGATGACGACGGGGACCATGGTACCGTGGGGAGCTCAGAGGGAGAGGTGATGGCCTTATCAGGAGGACGGAGATGTCAGGAAAACTGTCACAGAAGAGACTTTTGAGCTAAGACTTAAAGGATACCAGTTTTCAGGCAAATGGAGTGGGAGAAAAGGTGAGAGGACAGGATGTGGATGGCAAACATCCTAAACAATCAGGGCAGTGTGAGCCAAAAACTGACAGGCAGAAAATACGCTGCTAAGTGCAAGAATTTTAGGTAACTTGCACAGTTCAAGCACTGGGTAGGGGAGCTGGAGAGATGCAGGCAGGACTTAGATCACATGGACTGTGGATCATGCTGAGCTTGGATTTAGCTCTGTGGGGAATATGAAGAGTCTCAGGAGCAGACAAGGCCATTCTAGTTTTGAATTAAAAAGAAAAAAAAAAGGAGGGAGATTTAAAAAACCATCTATTGGGTACACTGTACACTATTCGGGTGACGGGTGCACTAAAAGCCCAGACTTCACCACTATACAATTCATCCATGCGAACAACACCTCGGGTAACCCTAAAGCTACTGATTTTTTTTTTAACAAAATAAATAAAATCTTAAAAAAAAAAAAAAGACAGCTATAACTGAGGCACAGAAAACACATACAGGGAGTGGTTGCTGCCCAGTCCCATGGGCACAGGGAGCCACTGAAGGCTTCTGGAGCAGAGGAAGGACAAAGGGGTTGCGTATGCCAGAAATGGCCAGCAGGGTCAGATACCTTGGCGAGGTGCTGATACTTGCGCTCTGGAATCACTGGCTTCCAAGGGACGCTGCCCATGTCCGATGGAGGAGGAGTCATGGGCGCAGGGTCCTCGAGGGTATCATCATAGCTGACTGCCCGGCGGTATATCCCGATGGGCAGGGACATCTTGCCTAGAGGCGCACTAGCCTCAAGAGCTAAGAACAGAGACACCTGTCAAGACAGGTTCAGCAACTGGACATACTAGCAGCTTTAAATTAATCTACAGGAAGGAAAGCTCTGAAATACTCTTGTTCTTGAACAGAGCAAAATAGCTTGTTTTGGAGTAGCTAATCCCATCCAGGAAAGGCAGTGGTACCAATCCCTTCCTCTATGCCTGACACCTTGGGTGGTCCACTTAACCCACTCAGCCGTCCTAATCCTTTTTTTTTATTATTTGTTTAGAGACACAGTCTATGTTGCCCAGGCTGGAGTGCAGCGGCACGATCACGGCTCACTGCAGGCTCAACCTCCTGGGCTCAAGTGCCTCAGCCTAGCGAGTAGTTGGGATTCTAGGCATGTGCCACCATGTCCAGCTAATTTTCATGGATCAGGAAACCTGAAGTTCCATTTAAAGGTACTTGACCACAACTTCAAAGTACAGTTTGGAATCCAATCCCAACCAAACCTATCTGATTTCAAAGCTGTGTCCTTTATCCCACAGAAGCCACCCCCTACTGCAATACTAAGGCTCTCAGTTCGTGCAAGACTGAGGATATGAAATGACCGAGGATACGAAGTTCTCATTCCCATTTCATAGATGAGGAAACTAAGGCCTAGGGGTAAAGTGACCTTCCCAAGTTCATTCAGAAAATGGCTACCTGGGGCTCAGCCAAGGTCTGTGAATCCTCTACCTTCCTTTCCTCACCAAAGAAAACACCAGCACTAACAGAAATGTTTGTGGCATCACTGTTCTGTATGATTTATTTAAACAGTAGAGTCACTTTCCATCACAGAAATTATTGACAACCACTCTCACAAATCACCAGCTGATCCTGCCATTCCTGTCCACTGGAACTGACGCCCAGCATGTCGGGTTGTGATGCAGCCACCCCATTCAAGGGCACTCTCAGCTGTGCCAGACCAGGGAGCCAAGTTCATTGTGTTTCGTTTGCTAATCCTTGCATATCAGAACTAATGTCCAGAACCTACCTGAAAGGTAACATTTTCCTGTGGCTAAAATCATATAATAACACTCTCTAAGACATCAACCTGCCTGGCAATAAGTCCAAAACCACAAAAGGTTTCATTTAAACGGCAAGGGGACCAAGCAGCTATCATTATTATTACTATTGCTATTAGTAATAATTAACAAAACCATAGAAATAAAAAGAGGATTAGAGGTTGCCAGGGAGTGGGTGGGGGGAGTGAGGATACGACTGCTAATGGTACGAGGTTTTCCTTTGGAGGTTATGAAAACGTACTGCAGTTTGGATGGGTGTGGTGGCTCACACCTGTAATCCCAGCACTTTGGGAGGCTGATGTGGGTGGATCACCTGAGGTCAGGCGTTCCGGCCTAGCCAACATGGTGAAATCCCATCTCTACTCAAAATACAAAAATTAGCCAGGCGTGGTGGTACGTGCCTGTAGTCCCAGCTACTTGGGAGACTGAGGCAGGAGAATTGCTTGAACCCAGGAGGCGGAGGTTGCAGAGAGCCAAGATCGTGCCACTGCATTCCAACCTAGGCAACAGAGCGAGATTCCATCTCAAAAAAAAAAAGAAAAGAAAAGAAAATGTGCTGCAATTGATCGTAGTGTTGTTTGCACAACCCTGTGAATATACTAAAAATCACGACATTGTTCACTTTCAGTGGGTGAATTTTATGATATGTGCATTACATCTCAAACACACACACAAGCAAATAATAATTACTAAGTCTTCCTCCTTGCTAGACAATTACATCCCTCATCTTATCTAATCCTCATGAAGCAGATATTCTTCCCATTTTCAAATTTTCCATTTTCACAATCAACTTGCCCAATATCACCTAGCTTGAAAGAGTGTGCTGGGAACTGGAACACAGACCTGAGCCGGTGCACACACTCTGCATGCAACACACTACAAAGCATTCACTGAATGGGCACAATCCTATGGCTCGCGACGGCTACACGGAGTTTGTGGTAATCACAGCAACAATGAAAGACAAACTAAAACGGAGCTGATGATGTTAAGACTAGAGATGGATCTATATTGGGGAATACGGGAGACTTGGGGAGCAATTTCAAAAACATCTTAAAGACTCCCACTGAACAGCCATCCTAAAACAAATAAAGTCAGCTAGTATTTACTGGAAAATATGTTCATATAAAGACAGACCAAATGCATTCTGGGCAGTAAATACATATTTATCACTGATTTTTAACTCCTGTTTTTACATATTTTGTTTAATCTTCACAACCCCGAGAGATAGGAACCATCATCTTTCTTCATCATCATACTTTACCGAGAATCAGAAATTAAGCGATTCAGATGTAATTAAAAATCACTTTCCTTTCTCATAAAACAATTCAAGTAGTCATCAATGGTGTCAATAACCCAGAACTTGACTCATTAAGGGTTGCTGTGAGCATTTTCATGATTAAGTTCAATCTGCCATTTAAGCAGGCTGGTGCCTTTTTACCAAGACTTCCATCCCACCTCCCCATCACCCCCAAAAAGGTGAGTTTAATCACTTTGGTACATACTACAAGAACTGCACAACTTATTCTGAATTATTATTTGATAACTAGGAAAGTAACAAACTTGTCATAATACCCTTAAATGAAGTGACTATTCTCTTTAAGTTAAAGTTTCATACTATGGCTGAGCGGCTAATAAAATATTTAAATGATGCCAATCTAAGGCTAGGCGTGGTGGCTCACACCTGTAATCCCAGCACTTTGGGAGGCCAAGGTGGAAGGATCACCTGAGGTCAGGAGTTTGAGACCAGCCTGGCCAACATGGAGAAACCCTGTCTCTATTAAAAATACAAAAATTAGCCGGGCGTGGTGGCAGGCAGCTGTAATCCCAGCTACTCGAGGCTGAGGCAGGAGAATCACTTGAGCCCAGGAGGCGGAGGTTGCAGTGAGCTGAGATCACACCACTGTATTCTAGCCTGGGCAGCAGAGTGAGACTCAAAAATAAAATAAAACTGGCTGGGCGTGGTGGCTCACACCTGTAATCCCAACACTTTGGGAGGCCGAGGCAGGCAGATCACAAGGTCAGGAGTTCCGCCGGGCACGGTGGCTCACGCCTGTAATCCCATTACCTTGGGAGGCCGAGGCGGGCGGATCACAAGGTCAAGAAATCGAGACCATCCTGGCTAACACGGTGAAACCTCGTCTCTACTAAAAATACAAAAAATTAGCTGGGCATGGTGGTGGGCGCCTGTAGTCCCAGCTACTCGGGAGGCTGAGGCAGGAGAATGGTGTGAACCCGGGAGGCGGAGCTTGCAGTGAGCTGAGATCGCGCCACTGCACTCCAGCCTGGGCGACAGAGCAAGACTCTGTCTCAAAAAAAAAAAAAAAAAAAAAGGTCAGGAGTTCCAGACCAGCCTGGCCAATATGGTGAAACCCCGTCTCTACAAAAAATACAAAAATTAGCTGGGTGTGGTGGCGGGCACCTGTAATCCCAGCTACTGGGGAGGCTGAGGCAGGAGAATGGCTTGAACCCAGGAAGCGGAGGTAGCAGTGAGCCGAGATTGTGCCGCTGCACTCCAGCCTGGGCAACAGAGCAAGACTCCATCTCAAAAAAATAAAATAAAATAAAATAAGCCAATCTAGTAAATCTAAATACTCGCTTGGTAGCAGAGATTAACCATTAATATATAGTTCCGATAAAATGGTTTCTGTCTAGCTTAAAACATTAATAAGGGCAAAACATGATTTTACCAAAAAGAATTAAGTTTACCAGGCACTTCTGGTTGTCTTGAAGCCATTGAAAGACTGGGATCCAGGTGCTTTTTCTATACAGAATTCCGAGCTGAGTCCCTGCCACCTAATAAAATAACAAAGGGCATTTTCTTATGGTGAGCAGCACCAATGCTGTTCTTCTGGCAGGCACACAGAATTGAACGGCTTGTTTACAAGGTTGAAACACACATGCAAGAGCCAGTGGGTGACAAACATGCCAATGAAAAAAGAAGGATAAAGTCAAACGTCTCACCACACCTGTGGCTGATCTTAACACCTGTGAGATGACAGAGCTAAGATGCCATACATGGTGAAAAAGTCACCTTACCACAGTGAAATGATGTGATGACTAAGCGGACAGACAGATGTTAATGAGGAACATGGTCCAGCTGCTGCAAAGTAGCAAAGCTTCCCAGGAAGAGTCCATCCAGAGGTTCTAATAACAACAAACAGCCAGCATTGGAACAGCCCGTCAGAGTCTGCCAAACACTTGTTTATTCCCCACAACAACCTTGCTCATTTCATTTTCTTAACTCACAGCAAGCGGCTAGATACTACAGTAGGGAAATTTGTTCTTTATAGCTAACACTATAAACTATTTACAGCGTTTATCTTGTCTTTTAATCCTTGCAGCAAGATGGCAAAGCAGATATTATTTATCCCAATCCCAATTTTTTTTTTTTTTTTTTTTTGAGACGGAGTCTCACTCTGTCGCCCAGGCTGGAGTGCAGTGGCGCGATCTTGGCTCACTGCAAGCTCCACCTCCCGGGTTCACGCCATTCTCCTGCCTTAGCCTCCCAAGTAGCTGGGACTACAGGCGTCTGCCACCACGCCTGGCTAATTTTTTGTATTTTTAGTAGAGATGGGGTTTCACCGCACTAGCCAGGATGGTCTTGATCTCCTGACCTTGCGATCCGCCCACCTCGGCCTCCCAAAGTGCTAGGATTACAAGCGTGAGCCACCGCGCCCGACCCCAGTTTTTTTTTTAAGCTATCTCTTACAGAAAGGCTATCCCAAATTTAAAGAGAAGGAAACTGGCCGGGTGCGGTGGCTCACGCCTGTAATCCCAGCATTTTGCGAGACCCAGGCGGGCAGATCACTTGAGGTCAGGAGTTCGAGACTAGCCTGGCCAACATGGTGAAACCCCATCTCTACTAAAAATACAAAAATTAGCCGGGCATGGTGGCGGGCGCCTGTAATCCCAGCTACTCGGGAGGCTGAGGCAGGAGAATAGCTTGAACCCGGGAGGCGGAGGTTGCAGTGAGCCGAGATCGAGCCACTGTACTCCAGCCTGGGCGACGGAGTGAGACTCGGTCTCAAAAATAAAAATTAAAAAAATTAAAAAAATGTTAAAAATAATAATAAAGAGAAGGAAACTAAAAATCAGAGGAGTTAAGTAAATTTGTCCACGGTCACAGATAAGTGGTCCGTGCGCAAGGTAGGTAGTTTCATGCCCAGTTTACAGGGGAGTTAAAACGAGGGCCTGAGAAAGTTACTCTTGTTTTTCAGCTTGCTACACCGTCCCTCTATCCCGATAGGACTCAGACAGAGCAAACAAGTTATTGATAGTTCTTCACTAACGAGCATCGCAAAGGCCGAATTCAGCCATCCTCCCAGTCCAGGGAGCATTCCCGCCCCAGACACGTCCCCTTCCCCTTTCCCTTTCCCTGTGCCCCCACCCCCCAGCTCACCGTCCCTCTGCCTCTCCTTCACAATATACAAGACGGTGCCGCCAGGATACGAAAGGCCGGCTGCTTCACCCACCCCTCCAGGCTAAGATTAGGGCCAGGACCCTAGCCGAAGGCGGGGTGTGGGGAGATGAGGTTGAGGACAAGCCGCGGGGGCTCGGGCTGGGCTGGTCCCACGAAGCGGAGGGGAAGCCCGTACGGGAGCTGCAGGGCATTCCCGGAGAGAAGCCCCATTACGGAGACCCCAGAGAGCGGAGCCAGGGAGGCAAGAGGCGACCCAGCCGAGCTCGAAGCCGGGATGAAGGGTTAAGAGGTGCGGGGAGAGGGGAGTGGCTTGGAGGGGCCCCGAGATCGGGCCTCGCCGGAAGCGCCCCTCCTGATCGCCAGAGAACGCAGCCCCAAGGGAGGGCCCAGGCCCGCCATCTGTTCACCTGTGATCCTGCTGCCGCGGGACTGCCTGCGGCCCGGAGTCCGGCACTAAAAAGGTTCCGAGGGCCCACGTCTCCCGAGAGGCTGTGGCGCAGTCTGGACCCAAGCCATTGTGAGAGCGGCGGCGATTTCGAAGGTCCCCAAGACCCACTAGGTAGCAGTACCACCCAGCGGGCAGGCAGCACTGCAGATAAAGCCTCCGGAGACCGCGGGATCTCGCGCGAGACTTGGCCCAGCGGAGCACAGGGCATGCTGGGAGTTGTTGTCCACGATCGCGAGACCCGCCCCCTCCCCATGCCCTTCGCCGCCCAGCGAGTTGTGGAGCCGCAGCTCCGAGTGTGGAATCCGCCAGCCCCGAGAGGAAACGCCACACTTCACCACCACTTCCTCAGCGCGTGTGCTGTGCCTGGGTCCGTGACAAGCTAAGGGAAGACGGAGGTAGCATAGTAAAATGACACCCACAAACCCAAGCCCTCAAGGCTCAAAAAGGGCTGCCAAGTGCGAGCACTTGTCATCCTGTTTTTCCCACTTCACGGAGGTGAAGCTGAGACTGGGAGAGATGAGAAGTCACTTCGATTAGCAAGCGGTGCAGTGAGCACGGACTGTCTCCCAAAACAGCGGGGTTAGGCAGGGTTCGTACTAGTAGCTGAACCAAAAAAGGGAACCGACCTCACCTGCCTCCCCTAGGGAAGGCGATCCTAATATCATTTCTCTTTTACATAAAGGAGAGTGAGGCTTAGAGGCGCCAGCTGAGGTGTCAGTCACATCCTGAAGGAAGACTTCTCTTATCCCTGAAGGGTTCACAAAGAAGGCGAAGCAACGAAGTTACAGCAGAATTTGCAAAAATCTATCCACGTTTCTACCCCAGTCCAAAGCTCGCCATCAAAACTCATCTCAGGAGAGCTATGATTGGTGGTGCAGGGTGAATGTCACATTTAGATTTCAGCATTTGAGGCTTCCAGCCGTACTGGCAGAACTGAGAGGCCTTGCTCATGCGACTTGAAACTTAAGCGCTGTTTCCAGACCAGGGTGCTTGAGTGCACTAAGAATTAAAGTCTTTGATGAATTCTATAATTAGCTTATCAACAGCACAATTACATTGCAGTATAATTGTGTGTATATGTGTGCGTGCGTGTGTGTGTTAAAGGTGTTCCTTTGTTAATTTGGAGCTTTTAAAATATGCCATATTTTTTAACCTCTGTGGAAGCAAAGCTGGCACCTTGCTCTTTATCCACCACAGGAAGGGATGTATATCACCTCTCAGTCAGAAAAGGAAGAAATAGCACTTTGCACCCTTATGTAGATCATAAGGTGGGATCATCTCATTTATTTCTTAGCCACAAATACATGAAAACTTAAGACTTTCCTGGAAGTTACTATTTGATTAAAACAACTTTTTCTGGCTGGGCACGGTGGTTCAGGCCTGTAATCCCAACACTTTCAGAGGCTGAGGCGTTCGAGACCATCCTGGCCAACACGGCGAAACCCCGTCTCTACTAAAATACAA